>NT_187593.1:0-180306 GCF_000001405.40 Homo sapiens | reverse complement strand
GTATGCTGGGGGTTGTTCTGTGGCTCATTGGTTCTATTAGCAGTCTTGTGCCAGCGTCACAGACTTAGTGATTCAAACTTTATGACATATTTTAATGTTTATTAATGCTAGACCTCCCTCTTCCTTATTCTTATTTTTTAAAACGTATCTCATCTTTCTCCTCAAAAAATTTAGGATATTTTTCATTTAAACATGTTATTCAGAACAAGGTTGGTTGTATGTGATCATCTTTTCCATGTCATTTCCACTGCTTTGTTGTTAAGATAATTTCTTCTGTGTGTAAACTTGTGTTGTTACATAATTATTTTCTTTGAGTTTGTGAGAAATACGTAATTTCCTTGATTTTCTAACTGGCTCTTATTGGTGCATAGGAAAGTTCCTGATTTTCTTTCAGTAGAGTTTTTAAAGCGCACTCTGCCTTTTGGCTCTGCTGAGATTCTTTCAGTTCCTGGATTGTGTCTCTTGTCCTTGCACTGACTGTGCCATTCTTCCTTTTATTTGGAATGTTCTTCATCACTGCCCACACTCCCACCTGTACCTAATGATTTCTTAAGCTTTAGATTTCTGCTGAATCATCCCTTCCCCAGGATGTTCCTTCAGACTTTTCACTAGGTCATGACCTCCTGCTGTGTACTTCATCACAATCTACATCTTCTGTTACAGTGCTCTGTTTCAGTGCAATCACTCTTCCCTGCTGGATTGTAAACGTCTTCAGGTCCAGGAAGGTTTTTTGTTTTGTTTAAGTCTTTAAACCATCTGAGTTAATTTTTGTCTATGGTGTAAGGAAGGGATCCAGTTTCAATCTTTTGCATATGGCTAGCCAGTTATCCCAGCACCGTTTATTGAATAGGGAGTCCTTTCCAGACTGGATAAAGGTGGTACATATACACCATGGGATACTATGCAGTCATAAAAAAGAATGAGACCATGACCTTCGCAGGAACATGGGTGGAGCTGGAGTTATTAGCCTTAGCAAACTAATGTAGGAACAGAAAACCAAATACCACATGTTCTCATTTATAAGGAGGAGCTAAAGGATGAGAACACATGGACACATAGAGGGGAACAACAGACACTGGGGCTTACTGGAGGGTGGAGAGTGAGAGGAAGGACAGGATCAGAAAATACAACTAATGGGTACTAGGCTTAACACCTAGGTGATTAAATAATATGTATAAGAAACCCCCATGACTCAAGTTTACCTATATATCAAACCTGCCCATGTAATCCTGAACTTTAAAATAAAAGTTAAATTAAAAACAAGATTTTTGTTTTTGTTTTTGCTGTTGTCTCCTTAATCAGGAGAGCAGACCGCACACAATGGGTATTTAATAAATTGCTTAAATGAATGCATGAATGCTTGCTTCAGCAACATAACTTTGGCAATGTGGAGATTGTGGTGGAATAGGAGAGAAGATGTAGAGAAGCCAAATGAAATCTGTTCCAACTTTTCAGGCAGAGGAGGATAAGCATATGAGCTAAGGTAGACTTACTCAGGATAGAGGGTAAGGGTTAGCTTTCAGAGTGAAGAGGTGTGATTGGCATCAATTAGGTGCTGACTGGATGCTGGCGAGAGAGAGAGAACCAGGTGAATGGGATACCTCTGGAGGAGCTGGCCTTGGGAAGAAAGGTGAGGGAAAGGTGGGGACATTTGCTTTCCTCCCTGTACACTGTGAAGGTAAGGCATGAGGGAGAATGCCCCTCAGAAACTGTTGTTTGCCTCAAAATCCAACAAAGCTCTTTTTAGGTTTGAAAAGAAAGCAGTTCTTTTTTGCTCATTCATAGAATACCTTTCAGTGAGTTGCTTCTAAGGACGGTAGCAGAGTTTTTGCTGTCATTGTTTTGTTTTATTTTTTGGTTTTTAGACAGGGTCTCACTCTATTACCCAGGCTGGAGTGCAGTGGCACGATAAGGGCTCAGTGCAGCCTAGACTTCCTGGGCTCAGGTGATCCTTCCACCTCAGCCTCCCGAGTGGCTGGGACCACAGATGTGTGCCATATGCCTGACTAATATTTGTAATTTTTATGGAGATGGGATTTCATCATGTTGCCCAGATAGTTTTAAACTCCTGGGCTCAAATGATCTGCCCGCCTTGGCCTCCTCCCAAAGTGCTAGGATTACAGGCGTGAGCCACTGTGCCCTGCCCTTGGTAGAGTTTTGAAGACAGTTGTTATGATGTTAAGTCATTGCACTGAGTCACTAGGCCATCCTTTGGCTTTACAGGACATAAAATATGGGAGTTTCATCACCAGACAGTGGGCGGTACTGGGTTTCCTACTGGGTGGACAGTCCTGCTAGTGGGAGAGTTCTGTCCTTAGTCTGTGCCCTTGGACTGTAGATATAGACATAGAAGGTCATCTCCCTTTATTTCGCCTTTCTGCCTTCATTGTCACTGGGGAGACAGTCCCCCCAAGTCTTCCTGTGTGTGACGCTGTGCAGGTGGTACATAGAAATGCCCATCAGTGATACTTATTTTGATGCTGCTGTGATCCTGAGAATTTTCCCACTTATAGGTGCTCTCTTTGGGATATCTGTTGGCATTCAACTGTTTTCAACAGAAGTCTCCAAAATTGGTACTCATCCAGGGTTATGTTAACTGCCCAGTGTACCGAAGGGTGATGTGGACAGGTGGAAAAAGACTGGGTTAATCTCTTAGTGAGACTAAGTGTTTTTTTACAAGTGGTTGGTTGTCTGAGGGTTAGAAGACTTAGAAGAGTTTTACATTCTACATTGAGGAAGTAGGCACTCACCCATGGTGGGTGGTCTGATGTCCTTGTTTCTTCAGTGGAGTTCTTTTTTCTTTTTTTCTTTTCTTTCAAGACAGAGTCTCACTCTGTCACCCAGGCTGAGTGCAGTGGCACAATGTCAGCTCACTGCAACCTCCGCCTCCTGGGTTCAAGCAATCCTCCTGCCTTAGCTTCCCAAGTAGCTGGGATTACAGGCATCTGCCACCACGCCTGGCTAATTTTTGTATTTTTAGTAGAGACAGGGTTTTGCCATGTTGGCCAGGCTGGTCTCGAACTCCGACCTCAGGTGATCCACCCACCTCGGCCTCCCAAAGTTTTGGGATTACAGGCGTGAGCCACCACACCCAGCCATCAGTGGAGCTCTTAATGTCATTTAGAACATTATTATTGTTGCAGTTGAACTGGAGATGGTAGGAAATAGTGAAGTTCTGCAGTTGTTGAAACAAGATGCTCCCTCAACTGTGCTGTTCCCCACAGTAGAGAGGTAAGACACTCCAGAGGAGTTGATGGTCGAGCAGCTATCTGATGCCTCTAACTGGGAATGGTCTCACAGATTCCTTACTGACCTTAAGCATCAGTAGTTTGCTTCCCAAGCTTGTGGCCCCAAACTAAATCTCTTTAAAAAAAAAAAAAAGCAAAAAACCCGAAAGTACATGATTAGATCTTGCAATACAATTATTGACAATGTATTTTCTGTAGTTTAAATGAATCACTTATAAAACTTTAGTGAATGGGATACGTACCTTATGTGGTTTTAGAAATATTCGTGTGCAAATGGGCAGAATGAATTGGAGTTCAGGTCACTTTGCCAACTTGTGAGATGTCACTAGATTTCAATGTATGTAAATAAACAAGCTCGTCTTTCCAAATACAACTGCACTTGTTATTTCCAAGAGTCTTTCAACAAATGGGATAGGAATTCACAGGCAGGGTCCCAGTGCCTGGTTGAATCTGACTCCCCCTGTGTAACCTTGGACCCATCGCTGAAACCCTATGCCTTCGTGTCCTTTTTGTAAAATATGGACACCATCAGTACTCAGGAACACCATGAGGACCAAATAGGTTTACACACGTAAATGCATGGAGAACAGTAGCTGACAGTGCTCAAGTGCTCACATTAGCAAAATGAAGTGATTCCCTAGTGAATCACACTATTACTTAAAGTTGGATTTTTTTTTGTTTTTTGAAATGGAGTCTTACTCTGTCGCCCAGGCTGGAGTGCAGTGGCATGATCTCAGCTCACTGCAACCTCCGCCTCCTGGGTTCAAGTGATTCTTCTGCCTCAGTCTCCCAAGTAGCTGGGATTACAGGTGTGTGCCATGATGCCCGGCTAATTTTTGTATTTTTAATAGAGACAAAGTTTGACCATGTTGGCCAGGCTGGTCTTGAACTCCTGACCTCAGATCTGCCCACCTCGGCCTCCGAAAGTGCTGGGATTACAGGCGTGAGCCACCACACCCAGCCAAAGTTTGATTTTTTTAAAACTTAAAAGTCCCAATGGATTCAGATCATTGAGATTTGTAACCTATTATTAACATACATTTTCTGGCTGGGCATGGGAGGCAGAGGTTGCAGTGAGCTGAGATCGTGCCACTGCACTCCAGCCTGAGCAACAGAGTGAGACTCTGTCTCAAAAAAAAAAAAAAAAGATATATTTTCTTCAGCTGGGTGTGGTGGCTCACACCTGTAATTCCAGCATTTTGGGAGTCCGAGGTGGGTGGATCACTTGAGGCCAGGAGTTCAAAACTAGCCTGGGTAACATGGTGAAACCCTGTCTCTACTAAAATTACAAAAATTAGCTGGGCATGGTGGTGCATGCCTGTAATCCTAGCTACTCCAGAGGCTGAGGAAGGACAATCGCTTGAACCCAGGAGATGAAGGTTGCTGTGAGCCAAGATTGCACCACTGCACTCTAGCCTGGGTGACAGATCGAGACTCTGTCTCAAAAAAAAAAAAAAAAAAAAAAAAAAAAAGACAGATAGTTTTCTTCATTAATTCGGGATATATATTGTCCAGGGGAGTTGGGGAAAAGCCTAGACTTAAGACCTAACACACTGACTTTATAACTCCAGAAAGCCACATGAAATGAGTTTGGTGTTCAGGTCAGGAAACCAAAGTGCAAAATAAGAGGAGGAGCTGTCTGTATCCTCTTTTGCCTTGTCTGGAGGTGTGTAGGAGGCTGAGAATGGTTTAGTGAGCACATTGCTATACATCAGTGATCTCTTCCCTCCTGTCTCAGATACTGACTCTGTGCCCCGGGGTCCCTCTCCGTGAAGCAGGAGTTACACGCTCAGATGCCTGGGGGGGTGAGACAGCAACATAAATGTCTTTCATGGGCCAGATGGGGACTGTCACCAGCAGCAGAGCATGTTCAGCCACTACTCATTGCCAAGCAGTTGTTTCCTGTAGGAATTCAGGCCCAGTGTTCCAGAACTCCTGATTTTTCAAGAAGAGACAGAAATCTGTACTGCATAGCCCAAATAAATCTTGGATTAGATGCTGGCTGCAACCACACTAGTTTGCAATTTTTGTAATGGGAAGAAAATATTTATGATCTATGTAACACACAAATGTTGGTGTTAAACAGATACTTTTACTCTAGAATCTTTGGGTAAAATGAAGTCTGATGACCTTGTTAAAACATATTATGTAATGCTTGACTTTGGTCATTCAGGAAATACCTACTGTGTGCGTTAACACGTAATTTAGTACATATTTTCTCTTTAAAATGAGCAGTTGCTACAAATGAAACCTGGCCCAGAAGTAGCAGATTGTCATTCTGCAAAATATTTGGGAGACCTGTCTTTTGCCTTTTAGGTTTTGTTAGTTTGATGGAGGTAACGTTACTTTTGGTTCTTCCATTGTATTTAATTGACAGTATCATCTTCTAAAGAATTTCAGTTTTACAGATTGGAGTAGTGAACTCAGGGAAGCATTAAAAACTAGTAGAAAGATTTGAGTAGATTGGGCAACTTGGCACCAAGGCCACTGGTAGGGACGTGCACACTCTTTTCTTAATAACTTAGAGGTGATGAACTCCTGATTGATTGCCTCAGCTAACAGATATTTGGCTGTCACTAAAAATTATCTAAGTTGTATTACTTGAAAACTTAGAATTTAAAAGTGTTACCATAGAGGCAGATGTGCCTCTAGAATTACCTGTGTCCAGACCACCAAAAATGACCAGACATTCCCCTTGCTTCATATGAGTGACTGCTACTTCTTGACTTTTTAAAGAGTTAGCTTTGGCCAGGCACGGTGGCTCACACCGGTAATCCCAGCACTTTGGGAGGCCGAGGCAGGCAGATCACCTGAGATCAGGAGTTCGAGACCAGCCTGGCCAATATGGTGAAACCCCCGTCTCTACTAAAAATATAAAAATTAGCCGGGGGTGGTGGTGCGCACCTGTAATCCCAGCTACTTGGGAGGCTGAGGCAGGAGAATCACTTGAACCTGAGAGGCAGAGGTTGCAGTGAGCAGAGATCGCACCATTGCACTCCAGCCTGGATGACAAGAGTGAAACTCCGTCTCAAAAAATAATAAAAGAGTTAGCTTCACTTTGTTTGCTTTTCCTATCTTCCAGATAAAATTATCAAGAGATTCAGTCACAGATTTGCCTCTGCTTTCAGACACTGCCAAATCCAGAGCAAAACCATACTTCTCTGAACTTTCCCCAAAATCATCTAACAAGAGCCCAAATTCCCTCCTACAGCTCTTTTGCTCAGAGCCACCCCATAGTTTCCCACCTGCTGGCTCCCTGATTACAAAGAGTCAATAAACTCAACCTGGTACTACTGTAGTCTGCTCCTGGTGAGCTGTGGATGAAGGGTATTGCTACCTAGGTAAGATTTGATGATATTATTACACCATTATTTACTTGTTGGCATTTGTGAAATATTAAAGGTAGCAGGGCCTATCATAGGAGGAAAGGAAGGTTGATGGTAAAAATGGAATGATCTATTTCAGCAAAAGCTGCCTAAGAAATCGTCTCCCTCAGAAGGTTATGTATGTGCAAGCTCTTCACTCCCTGGAAGAGCCAGTGAGTCACTCCAGGCAGTCTTGCAAACGGTCGTTTGATTCGAGTTACAGATAGTAGGAGGTGACCCTTTGAAATCTATTTAGAAAAAGTTCTTTCTAAAAGCTATCGATTGTGCTGATTATGATCATAGCAGGTTTCAACCTGCTGTCCAAGTCTGGAACTTTAGGCAAGTTAAGATCAACAAGCACTCTGCGATCGAGTTTCATTTAATTAGAGTTTGCTGCCAAGTCAGGTTTTGAGGCCAACTGCATGCCAGGCGCCTTTCAATGGTTGTCTGTCTGAGCTGGGGGAACGTTGGAGGATGCTCTGCCCTTTCTCCAGTATTAACCTTAGACCAAATCCCAGGGGCTTGCCCTGAGATAAGCTATCTCTACACCACTGGAAAGAGAATGCTTTGCTGCAAATGCATGAAGGCAGAGCAAAGATGTAAGGCAAATAAGTGGGAAATCCAGTTCGGTAGGCTTTTCCCAAAAGCGAGAGAAAAGCGTTCGTAGTCCTTTATCAGGATGGTGGGGGAAAAAGAAAAAGTAAGCTGACTTTTATTTTTTCAAGTCACTTTCCTAAGAAACTTGTAAGGACCTCTCTAAGGCACTGCTATCTGTCTTTGTAGGGCAAGCGTGAAGCTTTCCCTTGCCAGCTTTGTGATGTCATTGAATTAATAATACTGTAAAGGCTAGATCAGAAGTCAATTTGGCAGCTGTGCCTTTAGGGAAATTTTTGGGAGAGTGACCTTCCATTTCTAATAAGCATGTTATTACATTTAGAATTAAATTACTAAGAGCCAAGCTACCCTCTTGAATTTGCTATTAGCCATTTTTTCCCTTTTATTTTTAATGAACTAGAACAAGTTGAAGCCAGTTGTTTCTATTAGTAATAGTACACAGTAAGAAAGGAACAAAAAATCTTTTACTATCAGGCCCTTTATGTTGGACAAGTTTAGCTCTTCTAAATATCAGAATTTGTGAAAGACTTCCACAAAGTCTATTTCTTTTTTCTTAACTTGGGTAGAGTGGGAGAAGCCAGTGGGTTCCTTTCACCAATTTTATATTTGAATGCCTCCTCATGTGTGAGTTTTCTTCCTTAAAGTGAGAAAGATCATCTTCATTTCAACGTTTGTGTGATTCTGAAATTCATGTGGAATATAAATGGGCCCCAAAGTCCAATGGTATATTCTGTAACAATGCACCTACAGAGTATTTAACCCATCAACCACTAGAGCCCAATTTAAAACACCAGTCCTTAAGGCAGGGTGGTACCCGGGCTGATGTAAATGAATAGACACCCAGAGGGCAGTTGAGAAATAGCTAGCAAGCAAGTTGGATCAATTTTAATATCAAATCACACTCTCAAATAAGACAGAAGAACTTTTTACGAATGATGTTGGCAGAGAGAGATGGCAGTTTGGAGCCAAAATTTAAATCCCACACTGTAAACCTAAAACAAACATAAAAGGGTGCTCCAGGTTAACTAAAGATGACAAATTATTGAATTGTGGAAAACATAGAAGGAAAAAAAAAAGAGAGTATGTTCAGATATGAAGCAATAAACCAAGTCACAAAGCTGGAAATATTCCCTCATTAAACAATACCTCTTTAAGAGCAGGGGCTGTCACAACAACTTGGTAATATTCCACACATTTGCTAAGGTAAATTCAACAATACTATACGTGGAAATGCTGCTACTGGGGATCCCGGTTACCCCAAAAGGGACTCTTTCCTGTTTGGCTTCATGAAGACAATACATAAAACCAAAAGTGAGTGCCAAGCAGTGCAGACTTTATTCGATGGTCATGGAATGGAGAAGTGGGAGCGTAGCTTGCATATCAACAACTCAGCTCTTGAGAACTGGGAAGTTACAGATATAGGGGATTCTTCATTTTAATAAGCCTGTAATGATGGCCCATTTGTGTCTGTGTTCACACGTGCGTCTCTGAGAGACAGAGACAGAGTTCACTACATGTGGGTATGGTATTTAGATTCCTCTATTGGAATGCAGGTTCCTTGAAGCTCAAGGATATTGTGATGCACAGGTGCTCTGACCCAGGAACACAGCCTGGCCTGCCTATCAGATACGGACCACAGGAACCATCTGTTCTACTACTCTTCCACACCCAAAAAACCTGCCACTGCCGAGGCTACCCCTACCAAGTCTAGGTGTGTACATTAGCTTAAAATAATTCATGGTATTATTAAAGGTCAAAATTATTTCTCTCTTTGTACCTTTATTGATTCCGCTGATATTCATCCATTTGCTTATTGACTGGTGTTTTCATTGTGGTAGAGCCACACAATTTTTGTTTTTGATTGTCATTACTTATATAGATTTTTGAGAGGAACCTAAGATTGTTTT
The DNA here is from genome assembly GCF_000001405.40 of Homo sapiens. NCBI lineage: Eukaryota > Metazoa > Chordata > Mammalia > Primates > Hominidae > Homo > Homo sapiens. The sequence goes on along the minus strand of NT_187593.1, from coordinate 171,171 downwards.
TTTCTTTCTTGCTCATTAACTTGTAATATCTCAAATATATACTTAATAAAGTAAAAATTGACTTAAGTAAAGGGTGAGAAAAAGATTATGAACTTAAGAAGGATTAAAACCAATTTGCATAGCTCTGGAGAGACGGTCTTTCCTTGTATTACTTGGGGAAAGCAAAAATTAAAAGAGATGAGATCTATTATCTGAATCATGGATAGTGTGACCTACCCAGAGTACCTACTTTTTAACCTTCCAGTGGGTGTTGAAATCTGATTCAGCACATTCTTGGAGAGTGATGAGTAAATTTGTTGTTATATAAAGATTTTTCAAAAATAAGCATCGGATTCAAACATGAGTAGAAAGGATGAGATGTTAATTTAAGTGATTATGGGAAGCTGTGATTTATACACATGAAATCATTCATTTAGAGATGGGTAGTAAGAACAATGAGGATCTTAGGGACTGAGTATCTGTTTCCTAGGACACTAGAGACAGCATTAGGTAGTGATTAACTTAAGAATTCTGAAGTGTGATTGCCTAGATTTGAATCCTGGTTCTAGTCCTTTCTAGCTCTCTGACCAGGAGCAAATTACCTAAGCTGTCTCTGCCTGGACCTTCCCATCTGTAAAATGGTGTTAATAATAACATCTACCTCATAGCATTATTGTGAGGATAAAAGTGAGTTAATATATGCAGATTTCTAGAAGAGTACATAGCATATTGTAAGCGCTGTTATACACATTTACTCTCATTACTTGCCATGATGAGTGTGCAGAGGTTAACCAGGAGACAAAGGAAGCTCACACCCCAGTTGTTTTGTGGGCTACATTCTTGGCGATGTTTTATCGTTGCCCCTGATAATTTCCCCATTTTTAAGAAAAAAGAATTCATAGGCTTAGCATGTGGTTGATTTAAGCCTAACTTTTGACTGATTCTATATGGGATTCTGACTCTCTGATTAACTTTGATGTTCTAACTTTACCTAGCGAATATTTTTTTTCTTTATTTTATCGAACAGGGAAGAGGTCTTTTGATTTTTGGATTATTTGGTATAATATTATATTCTTGAAATCATCCTGTGACTGTCAAAAAGCTGACTGTAAATGAACAGTGAGCCACTGCAGACAGAAACAATTATTCAGGGAAACATAAATTCATAATCACTGGGCCTAAAATGAATTAGTGAGTAATCCAATCTGGGGGTGAGAAATGAGCCCTTGGCAACATTGTTTTTAGGCTACAGATGGTCCTTGAAACACTATTAGCCGGTGGATCTGAGCACCTGAAAGGTTTAAGGAAGCCTGGGTCTGTGCTGAAGGTGTCTTTGGGTAAACTGTCATATTTGCATGCAGCATCCTTTTAGAATATCAATGAGATCTTTATATGCATGTGTTATGTCATTTCCAAGCACCCTGTCAGTAAATGGATGGGTGGCATCAGCCCGAATGCAAAGGAAAGGGGTTCATCTGGAACTGAAATAGCAGAAAGGGAGCAGGAGATGGATATTTGATGGCTGCCCTTCCCTGTGCATTGTGTGAATACCACTAGGTGATCATCTCAGGGCACCTGCACAGGCATCTGAAATGCAGTGTAGAGGCTCTGCTTGGCAGATTTGAGGACATTAAGGCTCAGATAAGATAACTATCTTGGCCCAGATCACATACGTGGGACATGGCAGAGCCAGGATTCAAATTCAATTTTGAATAATTCCAAAGCCAATGCAGCACCTGAATGCGTAGGTTTAATAAAATTCAGCCTAATCCTTCTGAAAGTTAATTCAATGCAGGAGTGACTTTAGCATCAATATTAATTTAATTTTCTTTCTTATAAGTTATTTCAAGTTTGCTGTTTCCCTACAGTTTGAATTGAACTTTTTCTTCGATTGCTGGGCAAATCTCATTTATGAGTTTGCAGATGGGAGAGGTATTCTTTAAGTCAGCTTTGCAATTAAAATGAACTAGAGTACAAATGTCTCAATTTAACCTTGACACCTGATGTAATATTCACACGGCCTCATCATCCATCATCTTTTGTGTGCCACTGAGGTGCATTGGGCCACTGGCTTTTATCCCATGATTGTAGAGTTGCATCCGACATTATCTGTTTCAAGGATCGCAGACCAGCTACTTTTTCTGAACTAGAATTCTCTTTGTTCTAGACCTGTTGTTTGGGTGATATATAGAGATGAAGCAATCTTCGACCTGATTACTGTCTGGCTATAGAACTTTATTGTATCCCATAGTATACAGGACTGCTTTGAGTTTTGCCTCTATTCTAGCCATTTGCTGAGAAGAAAGACATTTGTGGAGGTCTCCTCAATAGGAATTTTTATTAACCATAAGTGATTTAAAACCATTGTCAAACCTGTAACTTTTAAGAGTTACTGTGACAGAATGAGGGGAAAATATTCTGAAGTTTAATTAGAAACTATAGAAATTAGACGGCCAGGCATGGTGGCTCACGCCTGTAATCCCAGCACTTTGGGAGGCCGAGGTGGGTGGATTGCTTGAACTCAGGAGTTTGAGACCAGCCTGGGCAACATGATGGAACCCCGTCTCTACAAAAAATACAAAAATTAGGCTAGTGTGGTGGCAGGCGCCTGTAATCCCAGCTCCTCGGGAGCCTGAGGTGGGAGGATGGCCTGAGTCTGGGAGGGCAACAGAGCCAGACCTTGTCTCACAAAAACAAACAAACAAAAACTGAAGAAATTAGAAGATGAATAATGGCTGTGGTAATTTACTTTCTTGTAAGTAAAGGTCTTTACCTACTTTACAAGAAAGATCTTTACTTACAATAAAATAAGTTACCTGTAAATGGCCTTAAATATTGATTAGGTTGTAAGAGAGAATATGAAATTAGATAAAATGTAGCAATATTTGATGTCATCATTTCCTTCCTCACCCACGCCTCTTCTGGAGTGGGCAGTTGGTCACATGATCTTGCCCCTCTTCAGCGATTGCACTGTGGCTGTTACTGTCAGGAGATGCCCGTTTGTAGGTCTGCTGGTAGAAGTCTGAGATAGACTGGCTCAGAGACAAGCTGTACCAGTAAGAACGCCCTAAGAAACTGTTCAAGCCAGAGAGAGCAGTTGCCAGCGGGCAGTGGTTACTGGAGCTGGAATGCCAGATGAAGTCTGATGGGTTTGGCTCTGATGGGTCTTGTGCATCCAAAACCAGGTAGCCAGAAGGAGCCAGTTGATCAAGCAGATATAGAAAGATCCCCAGAGAGAAGCAGAGGTATCATCCAAGAGATGTGAAAGATTTTTCCACATCCCAATTGCTACCTGGATTCCTGAGACTTGGTTTTCATTTTCTTCTGTGAATCTAGTGACCATATACCTTTTTCCTTGCGGTAACATGGGACATAACTGATTTTCTTGAATGCGAGAGAGCTTTAACTAAAAGAAGATTGACATTTAAGACAAAATGAAATATTGCAAATAGTCAAGAAGATCTACACTTGGGTCCAGAATGTTATAGAATTAAGAAAATAACTTTCTGTGGCATCAGAGATTGAAAAAAAAAAAGCCGTCGAGACCAGGAGCAGTGTGGCTGTGAATCCTTCCAGAGCCCAGATGTACAAGGCAGCAGAAGCAACAAAGGCTGTGGCCAGCAACGAAGGCAGAGTCCCCGGTAGGCGGAGGTCCCCGTGCACAGTGTGGTGCAGCAGTGAACCCAAGATTTTCCTTCACAGGGCAGGGGAACTATTTCCTAATAAGCATTGGCATTCAGGTTAGTAACCAGTTGATAGGATTATATCAACCTGTCTCTAAGTCAAAACAGATTATTCAACTTTTTTGAGTGGTATTTTAGAATACATAGGTCAAAGGTGGGCATGGTGGCACACACCTGTAGTCCCAGCTACTTGGGAGGCTGAGGAGGGAGGCGTGCCTGAGCTCAGGAGTTCAAGTCAGCCTGGGTAACATAGGGAGATCCTGTCTCTAAAAATAAATATTAAAAAAGAACATGTAGATCAGAATTTGGATGACTTTTTTTTCCTCAGGTGCAGAGATGGTAGGGGCATACTTTCAATCCCTGGTACATGACTTTCTTTCTGGTCTGCTTAGCAATATGTGTGAAATGTGGCCAAGGATATGGGACTTGTTGTGCCTGTGCCATGTAAGAGCCTCATCCAAATAAGTCTGTACCTCTGTCTTAAATTCCAGAAACCATGGATGCATGTAACAAGCATATTGAATAGGTTCTGTAACCCAGAGCTTATTTGTTTTTATTATTATTATTATTTTAGAGGTGGGGGTCTTACTATGTTGCTCAGGCTGGACTTGAACTCCTGGGCTCAAGGAATCCTCCCGCCTCAGCCTCCTGGGTAGCTAGCTGGGACTACAGATGCACACCACCACTCCTGTCTCAGAGCTTGATTTTTAAGCCTTATATATACTTATAATAAAATATGTTCATAATATATTTTATAAAATGAATATATAAATATATATTTATAAAATATATATAAGGCTTAAAATTTTAACGTTAAGAATGCTGTTTCTCTTTTTTAGTTTCTACTGGCCAATGGAAAGAACATCAAGGGATTGCAGGCCAAATTTATAAAATGTTTACCCAGGGCAATGCTAGTTTACTTTCATGTATTCAAGTATTGTCATTGTATAATTTAGGTATTTATACTCCCCGGGAAGGTGTTTCTTGGAACATTTTAATTATTGAATCTTAAGAATATTAGTTTTTATTAATTCGTCATTTATTTGTTTATTTTTATTTTTTATTTTTTTGAGACCTAGTCTTGCTCTGTCACCCAGGCTGGATTGCAGTGGCACAATCTTGGCTCACTGCAACCTATACTTCCCAGTTCAAGTGATTCTTCTGCCTCAGCCTCCCAAGTAGCTGGGACTACAGGCACCTGCCACAATGCCCGGCTAATTTTTTGTGTGTGTGTGTGTATGTATGTGTATATATATATATTAGTAGAGATGATGTTTCACCAAGTTGGCCAGGCTGGTCTTAAACTCCTGACCTCAGGTGATCCACCCACCTCAGGCTCCCAAAGTGCTGGGATAACAGGCGTGAGTCACCACGCCCGGCCAGAATATTAGTTTTTAAATGAATGATTCCAAGCTAAGTTTTGCTATTGGAAATATAGGAGTTAATTATGACAATTATCATTTGATGTTGTGGGGGCTAAATGTGGGTATTTTTGGTGTTTTTCCTTTTTTTTGTTACATATGTTAAACTCTGAGTCTTTTGACAACACCAAAAGGCATTATGACAACTGTATATACATTTAACTTTGCTTTCAGGGAGACTAGTTCAAGGTAGTAAAACCTCAAAATGGATTTGCAACTGAATTAAGGTTTTCTGAGTAGAGATAAGGCTGAGGTAGCCAAAACTACTTCTGCTATCTCTTTAGAAAAAGTACTTTTATTCAGTCTGTTCTTAAAAGAAATAAGTGTGGTTGTTTTCTTTTTTACCATAAGCAGAATGAAAACAAAATTAGAAGTCATTACTTTTTTTTGCCCCAGCTTACTTTTTGTTATGGAGGTAAAAATTACATAACATAAAACTAACCATTAAAAGTGAACAATTCAGTATATTTAGTACATTCATGTTTTGCAACCACCACCTCTGTCTAGTTCCAAAACATTTTCATTACCCCCAAATTAAAATCCTGTATCCATTAAACAGTAACTCAACTCTTTCCCCTCAAAATCACCAGTCTGTTTTCTGTCTCTATGGATTTACCCACTCTGATTATTTCATGTAAATGGAATCATACAGTGTGTGCTATGGTTTAGATATGGTTTGTTTGCCTCCACCGACACACACATGTTGAAATTTGAACCCCAGCATGGCAGTATTGGGAAGTGGAGCCTACTGGAAGGTGTTTGGGTTACGGGAGTGGATCCTTCATGAATGTCTTGGTACTGTTCTCCCAGTAGTGAGTGAGTTCTCATTTTTAGGAGAATGGATTAATTTTCATGAGAAAGGATTAGTTCTCACGGGAGTCAGTTGTTAACTCCCTTAAGACATCCTTTGCATTTCCCTCTTTTTGCACATATCTGTTTCCACTTTGACCTTCTTTCCCACTCTCCATCTCATGTTGTGATGCAGCATGAAAGCCCTTGTCAGATGCCAGGGACATGTCCTTGAACTCCTCAGTCTGCGAAACTGTGGCCTAGATAAGCCTCTTTTTTTTTTTATAAATTACCCAGTCTTAGATATTCTTTAATAGCAATACAAAATGGACTAAGACAATATGTGTAACCTTTTATGCCTGGCTGCTTTCACTTAACATCTAATACTGCTTTCTTTTGTGTTTGATTTTTTTTTCTAGTGTACCCTTTTGATTCCCTTTTCACTGCTTTTTCTGTATACTTTTTAGTTATTTTCTTACTGATTTACCATGAGTATTACAATTAATATTGCAAGTTTATAGCATTCTAGTTTGAAATGGTGCCAGTGTAGCTTCAATAGCATATAAGAACCCTGCTGCTGTATAGCTCTGTTCCCCCTTTATGTTATTTTTACTAATTTTATCTTTGTATATTGTATTAATATAGATTTATAGTTATTGTTTTGTGCACGAGTCTTTTAAATCACCTGGGAAAAAGAAGTGGTACAACCCCAAAATACGTAAATAATGAATTTTATGTTTACCTATGGTTACCTTTACCTGTGATTGTTATTTCTTCATATAGCTTTGAGTTCCTATGAAATGTCCTTTCCTCTCAGCCTGAAGTATTTCTCTTTAGCATGTCTTATAGGGCAGGCCTAGCTCCTTTAGCTACTGTATATCTGGGAATGTCTTCATTTCTCCTTTATTTTAGTAATTTTGCCAAGCATAGCATTTTTGGTTAAGTTTTTTTTTCTTTCAGCTTTTTAAATATTTTACCCCATTGTATTCTGGGCTCCATGGTTTCTGATGAGAAATTGGCAGTTGATTTTATTAAGGATTGCTTGTGTATAATAAGTTGCCTCTTTCTTTCTGTTTTCAAGATTCTCTCTTTTGTTATTGGCTTTTGATGGTTTGAATATAGTATGTCTCAACATAGATCTCTTTGAGTTTATCCTACTTGGAGTTTGTTGAGCTTTGTGGATATGTAGATTCATGTCTTTCATCAAATTTGGGAGTTTTCAGTTATAATTTATTCAGATATTCTTTCTGCCTCTTTATCTCTCTGTTTTTCTTTTGGAACTCCCATTTGCATGTGTTGGTATGCTTGATAGTATACCACAGGTCTCTAAGGCTCTGCTTATTTTTCTTCTTTTTTCTTTCTACTTCTCAGTATGATTTAACAGTATATAAAATATGCATAGGAGTATCTTCACATTTGCTGAGTCTTTCTTCTGCCTGCTCACTTCTGCTATTGAACCCCTTTAGTGAATTTTTTACTTCAGTTAAACTTTTCAATTTAAGAATTTCTGTTTGATTCGTTTTTATAATTTCTATCTCTTTACTGATATTAGCTATTTGCTTATACATTGCTTTCTTTATTTCCTCTACTTTTTTTGTCCATGTTTCCATTTCCATTTAAGACAGTTAATTTAAAGTTGTTGTCTAGTAAGCCCAGTGTTTGAGCTTCTTGGGGAATAGTTTCTGTCAATTTATTTTTTTCCTATGAATGGGACATACTTTTTTGTTTTTTGGTATGCCTTGTAATTTTTTTTTTGAAAACTAGTTGTTTTGAATATTGTTATATGGTATCCCTGGAAATCAGATTCTCTCCCCTAACCACGGTCTATTATTGTTGACTCTTGAGGGCTGCCATCTGTTTAGTGATTTTTCCAAAGGTTGCATTCTTTACTGTGTATCATTACTGAAGCCTCTGTTCTGTTGACATATGGTTACTGACATTTCCATTTTGTTATCTCATTGGTCAGCCAGTTATGTGACAGAGGATTTCCTTAAATGTCTGGAACCAAAAAGAAAAGAAAAAAACAAAACACCAAACATTTTTCTAGTCTTTGCAGCTTAGTTCTGACCTAAGTCATTCCCTCAATGCTAAACCAGGTCACCCATGACTCTGCCTTAGCCTTCACCTCCTGCTGTGCAGAACCCACAGATCCACCAGTGGGGCAAACCTATGGTCCTCTCAGGTCTTCTCCAAGCATGTGGCAGTCCTAGGCATGGATTTTTCACCCTAGCTTCCACAGCGTATACATTTTTTATTCCCTCTAGAAACTTCCTTCTTAGCCTCTGCCTTCCCTGCTTTTTGGTCTGTCCCTTACTAGTTTTTATTCCCTCTAGAAACTTCCTTCTTAGCCTCCACCTTCCCTGCTTTTTGGTCTGTCTGTTGCTTCCCCATCCATTGTCCGAGGCATAGGTAGTGTGTGTCTTGAAATCTTTCAACAGATGCCACTGCTGCCTGAAATGCCACTGCAGCCCAAGGGAGCAGGAATGAAACAAGTACCAGCCTCTGTGCAGCCCCTCAGGGAACAGCCAGGCAGGTCAAAATACATACCTGCAGTATTTTAAGAATAAGGTTTACTTTAGCTCCCTGATACCAGCAAGCCACACTAGGAGGGCAGGCCACCATCCCCATGGCTGCCCTATGGTGCTGGGGTTAGAGCATGGTGGGCAAGTGAGAGAAAAGACCCCAGCGCTTTCTTACTCAAATCCAGCTGCCTTTTTCTTCATTCGGCATATTCCTTACTATCATAGGTTTTTAATTAACTCCTAGAGTTCTGAAAAAGCTGGTTGTGTCAGTATTTGTTAGCTTACTTATTATTTTAGTTCAGGGACCACTTGTTTGAGTGCCCTACTCCACCATTTTGTATGATGTGATTTGGTAGTTCCTTCTGAAGGAAGATAGTCCCACTGCATAGAAATCTAAGTATGAATATTTTCAATGAAACATGCTGTTATTCAGGCAGCCTTTTCTGCCTGAGGTTATTGAATCAGACGTTCTGCAGTCTCTTGCCCTGGTGTTGAGCCCTGGGAGCTGGATGGAGTCTGAGGTGGGTTGTTCTCATCCTCTTCCCCCTTGCTGCAGGTTCCCTCTCTGAATTTCCTGGCACAATGCCCTGCTGTCTTAAATGTTTACTAATATTTGCTAAAAAAATGATTATTTCAGTTTAGCTATATAAGGTGAAAATGGTTTCCCATTTTCAGAAGACTGGTTTACCACCTTTTGGCTGGCACACCTGTATAGCTAACATAAATGTGATTTAAAATTTAAATGAATTTGCGGAGCCTGAAAGAGCCTCTTCTTTGACTACCCTGGAGAAAAACAGGTAGCAACACTTTATGTCTTAGATGATGTTCCTCCTGATGCCTTAATTAGAAACTTGTAGATTTACTTGCAGTCCAGCTATGTGCTCATTTGCACAGTTTAGTCTAAAGGCTTTACCTAGAGTCACAACTTGATTGTTGTCCAACTCACACTGGGCCACTAACACTGCAAGCTTGACCTATATGTGAAATCATGGAGCTGGTTCCTCATCAATTTCATGACTGAAAAGTTTGTTTACTTCCTTTCTTCTTGTTGGCAGTTCTGTTAAGTGTCTTGCTTCAGCTGTGTCTGCAGCCTCTGGACAGGTATAGTGGAGCAGTGTTGCGGGAAGTCAGGGACCCCAAACGGAGGGACCGGCTGAAGCCATGGCAGAAGAACGTGGATTGTGAAAATTTCATGGACATTTATTAGTTCCCCAAATTAATACTTTTATAGTTTCTTATGCCTGTCTTTATTGCAATCTCTAAACATAAATTGTTAAGATTTCATGGACACTTATCACTTCCCTAGTCAATACTCTTGTGATTTCCTATGCCTGTCTTTACTTTAGTCTCTCAATCCTGTCAGCTGAGGAGGATGTATATCGCCTCAGGACCCTGTAATAATTGCATTAACTGTACAAATTGTACAGCATGTGTGTTTGAGCAGTATGAAATCTGGGCACCTTGAAAAAAGAACAGGATAACAGCAATTGTTCAGGGAATAAGAGAGATAACCTTAAACTCTGACCGCCGGTGAGCCAGGCGGAACAGAGCCATATTTCTCTTCTTTCAAAAGCAAATGGGAGAAATATCGCTGAATTCTTTTTCTCAGCATGGGATATCCCTGAGAAAGAGAATGTGTACCTGGAGGTAGGTCTCTAAACTGGCCCCCCTGGGTGTGGTCGTCTCTTATGGTCGAGACTGCAGAGGTGAGATAGACTCCAGTCTCCCATAGCGCTCCCAGGCTTATTAGGAAGAGGAAATTCCCACCTAATAAATTTTGGTCAGACCGGTTGATCTCAAAACCCTGTCTCCTGATAAGATGTTATCAATGACAACGGTGGCCAAAACTTCATTAGCAATTTTAATTTTGCCTCGGTCCTGTGGTCCTGTGATCTCGCCCTGCCTCCACTTGCCTTGTGATAGTCTATTACCTTGTAAAGTACTTGATGTCTGTGACCCACACCTATTCACACACTCCCTCCCCTTTTGAAACTCCCTAATAAAAACTTGCCGGTTTTTGCAGCTTGTGGGGTATCACGGGACCTACCGACGTGTGATGTCTCCCCCGGATGCCCGGCTTTAAAGTTTCTCTCTTTTGTACTCTGTCCCTTTATTTCTCAAGCTGGCCAACACTTAAGGAAAATAGAAAAGAACCTACATGAATATCGGGGCAGGTTCCCCAATAGAGCAGCGTACTATTTTGCTCAGTGGGGGACACTGTAGGTCATAGAGTCCATCTTGGATGGGTATCAACTTGAAGTTAGTGTCTGCCTGCCTGCCTGTCTCTCATATGTTTGTTCGGGGGGCCTATCTGTATATATACTTTTGTCTTATTTGAAGATTCCAGTTTTTTTCATAGAGAGGCAGTAAAAGATGCCCAAGGATGTTCTGACTCCCTTTCAACTTATCCTTGTAAGGCACCATAGAGAAAGTATCTTAGGTCTTTTGTTTTTTCAGACTGTGGCATCATCAGCTTTTCTCCAAAGTGCTGGCTGCCTCTCACAACATCACTGCAGTGTGTGTTGTCTTGCTGGCAGAGTCTTTCCATTTCTCTTTGGGGTGGGAATGGAGGCAGGAAGATATTCTTTTCTAGCACGTTTGGCAAGGGGAGTTCAATTCAAAACTCTAAGGAATTGGTTTTTCAAATCTGTGCCACCTTTGTTCTTTTTTTAAAAAAAGGACATTTAATATTTCTCAAGTGCAATCTTCTCATTCTGGCTGCTATTTATTTTCTTCATTCTCTAAATTTATTCTGTCAGCGTTTCTGAAGCTGCCTCTGCTGGTTGCCAGGCAGTGGCTTTACTCCTTTTGGAGTAAAGATGAATCTGACCCCAGGGTAGGATCAAAATCTGTACCAGTAGGTCCCAGTTCTGGCTTTTTGAGCTAATATAGTCAATCTAATTTCCCTTGCATGTGATAGCTATTAAAACATTTTAAGACTGTGAACATGCTTATTTGAGACCGGAAGAGACTGGGTCACAGAGGAAGAAGGAGGCAATTACAGAGTGGGAGTGGGCAGGCTTTGGTGGTTTGGAGACTTTGGGAGACATGAATAATATAAGGGATTGGTGGAAAAGAGGGAGGGAGCAGGGTAGAGACAAGAACCTTTGGTCAGCTTGTATTTTTTAGGGTCAGTATTCTCTGGCAATAATCTCTCCAGCTTCTTTGGAACGAAAACATGAATAGTGTATTAGATTAAAAATCACAGGACTCCCAGGCTAGCATTAATTCTCCATTCAACCCTGCCTCTTTCCTACCATGATGGACAAGGCAAGGAGATGAGGGACAGAATGCTTTCTCCTCCGCCTCTCACTGTTCCTGTGATTTTCAGATTGTACTATTAGCAGAGTTCTGCAGACACTATAACAGCGAATACTGATGATCTTCTATAAATGTATGTGGAATTCTATTTGATGATTCTTGTTTAACGCCACAGAAATTTTGGATAGGATACAAGAAGATTACCCATGATGTGGCAAATGAGACCAGTTGGGATAGCTACAAAGCAGAGACTCTGACTTCTGTATACTGCACAGGAAATGGATTCTCCTAACTGTCCTCCTGTCATGTATGATACCAATGTAATTATAGAAATAGAAGTCAAACATATTTTAACAAATGTGGTACTGGAAAATCATACAGCTCTACTGGCTAATTTTCCTTAATTTCATGATGTTTTACAAATTGGCATTTATTGCTCCCTGTCTACGCTGACTCGTTTCTCTACTAAGCTTGCTTTTTTCCTACCCCAGACACAGATCTGATCATAATCTTCCATATATCCCACCCAAACAGCTATTGGTGCGTAGGAAAAATGGTTTAGGCTGATAAAGAATGATTCACGGCAATGGAAAGAAAGCCAGCCACTGAAGTAACTTATAAAATGAGTCCAGTAATTCAGATGTATTTATAATTTTATTTGCCTGTGTGGTCCTAGTTAGACTTGGCTCTGCACAGGGAAAGGAGGGGAAAAAGAAACAATTTTAGGGGAAAAAGTGAAAGATGGTACAAAAATTTGGTGAAAATTACATAGTCCATATGCCGCTTTGTCATCATTAAGCTAATGTTTTCAACAAGCTGTTTTTTGTGGTTCAGCAGAGGAAACTCGGCAGTGTGATTGCAGTCATGGAATCCTACCTGGCTTTGGTTCCACCATGGCTACATCCTGCCATAAACGGAGACTTCGGGAAGGTCTAGGAAATATTGTGGTGTTAGTGTCTTTAGTTAAAAGCCAACCATTCAAGGTTGTCTGGCCCAAAGTAACGTTTCCACACTTAGAGAAGCCACCCAACCTCTGCCCCTGTTTAGGCTAGTGTGAACAAATTCATCCTGGCCATGTTGTCTTCTCAGAACTCCTATGAGGGTCCAGATGTGTCCCCCCCCGAAAACTAAATCTATAAGGACCTTTGGCTCTTTTAGCTGCTTTATTTTTTGTTTTCAACCATGTATGAAAGTGAGTGTGCAAAATAGGCTTTTCAATAAATTATGCATCCTTCAATAATATATCGTTTCCATTCCAGTTAGCTTTAGGCCCCCAAACCAGATCATTAGGTCTCTGGAATTGGCTGAGGCAAGCTGGCTTTTATGTCTCTGATGCCTCTTGGCCCATCCTTTTCACCAAGAGAGGATTAGAATGGATTCATTGCAAGGGCTGCAGGGAAGTGGTGTATTTAGTGCTTTGCAGTGCCTGCCACAGACTTGAGTGTCAAATTCCTCCTTTCTCTAAAGAGCATAAAATTCCCATCAGACTTGGAGAGCTAAATGCAATTGAAACATTGAGGGGAAGAGTGTTCCTTGGCACATTTTCCCCACCCGGAGATCCTCAACAGTACGTTTCCTCCCGTGTAGTGACTATTAGGAGTGCAAAACCTGAATACTTTTTCAAAATTAGAATGACCACAATAGTAAATAGGACAGAATGGGAGTGGTATTGAAGTAAGAATTTGCTTATAGAATTAAACCAAATCCAAATTATTTCTCACTCGCCTTCAAAAGATAATTTTGAGCTTTTGAACATAGCAGGTTTGCTGGTCGTGCTACTGAGTAGTTTGAAAGCAAATTTCAGTCACCAAAAGGACGTAAGTCTAGAAGGACCCTTTACTTCTTTCTGTTGTCTGTTTTAATGGGTGCATTCTGGAACCAAATGCGAGTCATCCTGTTTTATCTTTTTCCCTTTGCCCCTAAGTTTCAGTTGCTTGTCTGAGTGTACAGCTAGATTGTTTGCCTTTTGTAAAGGTGAGCATATGAAGCAGACATGGTGGAGCCTTGGGGCCCTAGTAGTGCAGAATTTTTGGAATGGCAGCAATGTTACCTCTATAGTGTCAGCTTTGTTCTTTGGATTTGCATTGCATGACCCGTAATACCAGGTGGAGGAAACCATGTTGAATTTCTCTGGGGGCCACTGCTCAGCAGTTGTCAATCTTTAAGTGCTTAAAAATGTCTAGCATTCTTCCTTTCCAGAGGGCATCCTGTGTTTACACATTTACGCCGTCAAAATCAAGCCTAGTGGATAGAGGAGTTGTAGAACAGGGCAGACAGAATCAAATCAGGCCTGGTGTAGAGGTGTACCTTGGGAAATACCTCCAGTTGTTTTCAGACACTTGCAAATATGTGTAAATAATAAGTTTTATCAGATAGCTTTTTATTTTAATATTTTGGGAAATGGGATAACACAACCTTTTCTTGTGAATATCTTTTGTTCTTTTAATAGAATGTGAAATCATTACACTCTAAGTAGCAAGACAAGAATATCATGTAAACATGTTCTGGAAGATCTGGGCTTTAATTTTGTTGTGATTAGTGTATTTCAGAGAGTGAACATGTTTGGAAGAGTATTGAAAATACTCTCCTGGGTTGTGCCGGTGTTCATGGGTTGGACAAGCTCACCTTTGACAGGCAGGCTTGGATGCTGCTGATGGAGTTACAGAGAGGGCTTTGCATGTGAAAAAATGACATTTTAAGTTGAAATGCCATAATTAATCATTTCCCCCTTTGATTCATGTTATAGAAACCAAATTAACATAATTAAATTATTTTTACAATCATATATTAATAGAAATGAAAAATACTCAAGGTATTGGAGACCCCAAATATCCTGACTTGATCCTTATTCTATACATGTCAAAAATACTTACATGTAACCCATAAGCGTGTAAAATATTGTATCTTAATAAAAGAAAAAAAAATGTATATGTATATTTTAAGAATCAGTAGTGCCTTGAAGGATAAATATTCTAATAGGTAGGCAGTGGTTAACTGCAAGTGATCTGATTGGTGGTCTGGATCAGAAAATTGGAATTTCAAATTAGAGAATATGTTTCTGACTTGACATCATAAGCATAGATGTCTTTAAAATGCTTTTAATATTCACAGGCATTTGGGGAAGAATGAGCTAGATTCTTTTTTCCCTCATCTAGCTTAGATATTTCTACATTTGCTATCCTCAGTACATCATATCTCAGTAGCTCTTCCCCCGGCTTGAGTTGTCCTGGAAAGGTGCAGACCTCATGAGAGGTGGAGGATGGCAGGGAAATAACCAGGTCATCTCAGGGGTCTGCAGAAGGGTAACATCTAATTGAGTTCTGAGACCACACGTGAACTCTGCCTCAGGACATTGCAGCCCTTGTCCTGGCCACACACTTTATTGCATGTGAGTGCCCCACACTACCCAACCAGCTCAACCAGCTTCACTCTGCCTCACGAGAAAGCTCTTATTTTACCTGTGCCAAAGTAAAAAAGGTTGAAGTTTGCCAAGTGGAAAGGAAAAGACAGACAACACATTAAGTGATTTTTTAAAAAAAATTTTTATATATTCCTTCTGGAAACTGTTTTTGTGTTTGACTTGATGAAAGTATACATGTATACTTGTATACATGTTGTAGAAAACTATAACAGAGAATACAGGCCAGTATTCTCTGTAGTCGATTAAAATCTCTTATTGGTAGAGTTATTCAATAGGGAACTCCCAATTTGACAAGTTAAAACTCCTAAACAAAAAGGTGTCTTATGTTTTGTAGTCTTGCTCTTTTGAAGGGATTTAGGAAACCTCTAACTTCTTTTTTTGTTTTTCTTTTCCTAGTGCCTTTGTTATTGGGAAGAGGAATTTTTATTTTCTTTTCCAGAGGAAGGGAAATCTCTGGGCCAGATCATTGCCTGGGACAGGATTCTCTTGCTAAATGCCCTGCACACCATCTTCCATCCTACTGCAGCAGACTCACCTTTTAAAAACTCTTCTATTGTGGCATCAGCTTAGTCTAGAAGTCTGCTGCCCACTGTGGTCTCTGCTAGCCACATGGGGCTGTTTAAACTCAAATTAATTAATGTTAAATAAAATCAAGGTTTTAGTTCCTCAGATGCACTCACCACATTTCAAGTGTTCAGTAGGCACCTGTGGACAGTCCAGAACATTTCGAGCATCATAGAAAGTTTTATTGGACAACATTGATTAGATCCATAATGGTTTTCAATTTCTTTAAGACTTTAAATGTGAACTCTTTAGCCTGGCCTGTAAACCTGCCCAAATTTTGCCATCTGTAGATATTGAATATAATTTACCAGAAGGGAGAATGCAGAAGGTAGTCAAGAAAATCCATGTTGGTATAACTCATGTGAGACCCGGGTGGTGGTGGAGAGACATTTAATTCCCTTCTGAAGAAGGCATGGCACTTGGACAGACAGGAGGTAGTCCAGGTAGCT
The DNA here is from genome assembly GCF_000001405.40 of Homo sapiens. Classification (NCBI taxonomy): domain Eukaryota; kingdom Metazoa; phylum Chordata; class Mammalia; order Primates; family Hominidae; genus Homo; species Homo sapiens. Next base: position 155,082 of record NT_187593.1, on the reverse strand, counting down.
CTGGGATAATGTGTGAACATGAAGATTAATTTGAGGAGTATAGAAGATTTTGATCTTGGTGAAGGGTAAGGTGAATAGAGGACAACGGGAGAGAGATAGGTGGCCTGTATTCTCTGTTATAGTTTTCTATAGGGGACTGTCTTCTCATGGTCTTCAGCCTGTGTTTGAATTCAAACATTTCAGTCTCCTTTGTCCTCAAAAAGAGAACATGAAGGAGTGGATTCACTCATGGCAAAGCAGATGGGAACAGGGGTGTTAGTGAATAGTGTGGACTTCAGACTTTAAGGAATGATGATGAGAGTTAGTGGTCCACAGATTCTGGAAGGAGCACTGTGGTGATCTGGTGCGAATGAGAGGGGGTGGGGGATATTACAGAGGGTTATGAGGCAAGTAATACCTTTACAGAAAGTCAAATTTTAATGATGGAAAGAATGCAGGAATGTAAGAACTTTAAGATGAACAGAACATGACTCATGATAGCTCAGACGACCCAGAAGATAGAGTGGATAAGTAATAGAGGTGCAGGTGGTTCTTGATGACAAGAACTTGGCCTTCAACTCTGTGTCCCTAGCACCTGTCAAGGCACTTGATGATTAATGGATTCTGTTAAACACTTGTTGCCTCTGTGGGGAAAGCTGGGCTCACCAAGCTAGTAGTTGTGGAGTATGGGGGAAAACAGAGTTCTGTGTCTCAGGCGGTAATTTCAGCAACAAGTGAAGAAGGCAGATAATAGGCTGGGGAGAAGGGTAGAGGCACTTAGTGACAGGCTGGCAGCAGGTGGAGGATATGGCCGGGAGTATTGCTGAGTTTATAGGATTAAAAGGCCCCACTGGAGAGCTGCTGAGTTGATTGAATTACCTAGACCCCAGATGCCAAGGTAAATGCCACTGGGGCAGCTCTAGCACTTTTCAATAGTGCTGCCTGTGGCCCTGAGAGTGTGCCAGCAGGTGGGGTTCTTCTGAGGCAGGAGGGCAGGACTGGTGGAGTCAAGCAGAGGGAGCCAGCTCTGCAACACAGCTCCTGGGTGGCAGCTTGCCTTCCAGCACACGTGTTATGCAGCAGAGACCTGGTAAAGCCTTGTTTGGAAAGACAACTTTGGCAGCAGGATAGCTGGAAAGCCCTACCTTGGAAATTAGTCCTGGGGTTGAATTGTAGCTGTGCCACTCACTTGCTCCGTGACCTTGGGCAAGTCAGTTCACCTCTAAGGCTTCCTCATAAAATGAGGAGAATAATTCTTAATCTCCCTGTCACTGGAGGCTGCTTTGTGGAGGAAAGCGATGTATGTGAAAGCATGCAGTAAGCTGTAACATGCTACAAAAATGCAAGTTATTTATAAGTTGGGTTTCAGGGGCAAAGAAAGACAACTCAGTGAAGATGTCTTTACAGTAATCACTGTGAGTTAATGACAACATGAATCAAGAATATGATAATGGAAAAATTAGGGAGACAACAGAAATAAAGGCTTCTAGTAAGAATTTTAAAATTACACTTGGAAACCAGGTAAGCAATGGGAGGAAGGCAATAGGATGAAGGAGAATGAAGGCTAGTAAAAGATAGTAGGATTCTGGGTTTGAATGGTTGAGAGAATGGTGGCAACATTAACCTAGAGGCAGAAAGAGGGAAATACTGGAAATCAAGATGATAGGCTTTGTTTTGGACTTATTAAATTCTCTGTACTACTGGAACATCCTGATAAAAAATGGTAACAGGACATTCTGGTTGTAAGCACAGTGAAAAAATTGAGACTGAGTTTGGAAGCCAGCCACCAGAAGCAGTGTTTGAGGTTTTGCAACAGAATGTTATCACCCAGGCAGCCATGTAGCATTAGAAGAAGGCCAGGGATAAACTTTGGGGCAGATAATGCGATTTGACTTCCTTGGGTGTTAGGTCTTCCTCAAGGTAAGCGTAGTTTTCTTACTGCTTGTATGGTGGCCATGACACTTATGACTGTCAGCACTACATGTTTATGTGTTCATATTTTTCACATACTTTCAATTCTTGGAGTTTAGGGATTGTATTAATCTTGTATACCATAGACACCTGAACATAAGCTAAATGTCTACTAGCACACAGTAAAGATTTGAATATGTTATTTTGAAATAATGAATCAGTGCCCTAAAACAAAGGTGGTCATTGTTAAGGATGATCTGGAGAGGCCTGGGCGAAGGATACCACCCTGGGCCCATTCCAGGTTAGTGACATGAAGAGACCAGTTGATATTGTCAGTGTCTTTCTCCTTTGATGCTCTATAGATTGAGTTGAGAACATAGATTGTTGATTGCGGATTAGGAAAAATAGGAGGTCAAGGGGATTAAGACAGCATCAGTTTTCATGAAGTTCAAGGTAGTTGGAGAGGTGGGTTAAGCTGAGGAATACCAGTCTAGAGTGATTCACAGTAGCTTCTAGAACAAAACACTTTTGCAAAACAAGACAGGTGGAATTAAAGTGGGGGCAGAAATTGAACAGGAGAGAAATTTCATGCTCTACGTTCTTGGTGTGACCGTGCTAATTGTGTGGCTTTTGTGGGTTGGATCGCATCCTTGAAAAGATACGTTGAGTTGTTGAGTCCTAAACCCCCCTGCACAGTATCTTAGAATGTGACCTGGTTTGGAAATAGAATCATGGCAGCTTAGTTAAGATGAGTTCATAAGTTGAGGCTTTCATGCAATGATTGATGTTCTTCTGAAAGAAGAGATGCACACATATAGGGAGATCACCATGCGATGATGGAGGCTGAGATGGAAGTTAGCTGCAGCTGTGTACTAAGGAATTGGCAGCCAGTCACCAGAAGTGGGGAAGAGACTAGGAAAAGATCCTTCCTACAGGTTTCAGAGGGAGTGTGGCTACCTTGAATTCAGATTTCTAGCCCCAGGAGCTGTGAGAGAGTACTTTTCTGTTGTTTTAAGCCACCCAGTTTGTGGTACTTGGTTGTTGCAGCCCTGGGAAACTGACACCATGGCTCAAGGGAAGCAGAAATGAAGGTCATGGAGACCAGGGTGGTAGAATCATGGATGCAATGCTGAAAATTTGGAGAACAACATGGAGAGATAGAGTGAAGAAAACAGAAGGGGAATGTTCTGGAGTGTTCTGTAGCCTTCATAGCTAACTGCTCTTGTCATCCTAAGGCTCCTTGTACGTCAGTCTCTTTGAAAGCAAAGTGAGAGGCTTTTGCCATTGCCATCAAGGTGCCCTCTACAACCATGTTTGTATTTATCTCAGCGGCCCAGGCTTGTCAGTTCCTGGCATTTGGGTTTAGGTTGTACTTGGTGTGGGCGCTTGGTTTCTTTTAGAGATATTGTAAAAGGGACACTGTATATTTAAATAGCATGGAAGACTTCAGGTTGAATTGGGTCAAGGTGCTTCCCACTCCCTGCACAAAAGAATTCTAATTGCAGACAACTCAATCAAACAATACAACTCAGTATATTTTTCTGAAGAGAGGGAAACAATTGGAATTGAAGTGACTAATTCCTTTTGCAAGGTCCTCTAGGAAAAATAGAAATTCTAGAATGGCTTTCTGGAGAAAAGTCTTTGAAGGGTTTGGGGAACTGTTTAGAAAAAAGAAAGCAAAGAAAAATCTGGGTTCAAGGAAACAGACTTGACAATATTGAGGTTGTAGGGAGTGTCCAGATACCCGGCATGCTTGACTGTCTCTCCCTCTCCCATGACTCCAGTTTGGATATGATGAAAATGAATGTTTTTAATTTGTTAGCCTGGAGCTTCTCCTGCATTGGAAAGTGATTTTGGGATTAATGCTAACGTTTTAGAAGATTTTTCCCATATTGAGTGTAGAATTAAATGTTTGCGTACCCCATAGTGTTTACTTTAATTTTTCCACACTCTTCAGGAGTTGGCAGGTATATAATTCTGGATGATAGCATGTGCTGTGTGTACTCTCCAGTCCTGACGCTGCAGGGTTAGGGCATTGGTGCCTTTTGTTCAGTCCACGCAGGGAAACGTGCAGGCAGGGAGCTGGTCCGAGACGTCTCCAGGCAGATTACGGGAATGGCTGCTCCCACAATAACAAAAAATGGCTCCTGGTGGAAAAAGAAAAATAGAGGTAGTCTGAACTTGTGGACAGGTTTGTTTCCTCCTTCTTAGATATGAGTATTTAATTTTTCTCTTTTTAGCTCCCTCTCTCTACCAAAACAAAACAGACAACTCTTTGAAAACACCTCCAAATGATTTATGTGCCAAAGATGTGTGAAAATGATCATCTTAGATGTTGTTGGGGGTGGGAAACAACCCTCAGTGGTTTGTTCCATTCTTATCTGTCCTTGAAAATAGTTGAGAACAAACGAAGACTTGGGACTGACTGCCTTGGATGTGGTCTGGTTTGCCCTGTAACTGACAAGAGTGATGGGTCCCCGTCGAGTGACGGCGTTGGACTAGAACCCAGGCTGAGAGAGCACTGCGGTCCTTGGCTGATGCACTGAAGAAAAACGCGTCAGATAGAAACAAAATTACTGTGTATCCATTTCTGTGCATAACTATAGTGGAAGAAAAGCAAAATTTAAAAAAAACACACCAAAAACCCCGTGATCACCATTCTCTGTAATTCAGACTCTTTTTTGTAGTAAGAAGTGCCATGCAGCTTTCATGAAGTTGCTGGTATCTGTTAGCCGCACTCCATTGCCATGGCCCATCTTCTTGACCTTCCACTCTTATTGTGGGTTTCCCTGTTAATCGGATCGTGCCTCCCCCCTCCTCTGCAAACACCTTATAGTTTTGAGAGATGATAATCAGGCATAAAATCCTTCCCCTGAGTCTGAGTCTGGGACTTCAGTCACCTTCCAGCCTAAGAGGCTGGAGCAGCCTGGCATGCTCCCCGGCAGCTGTTTTTCTTAGTTGGTGCATTGCTTTAATTGGCCACAGTTCTCCTCATCTGTCATGAAGACTCTTAAAGCTCATACGAGAGTAATTTTCTCCACCTCCTTTATTGCGAGTTTTCTCTTGACGGGGCACACCACTGACTCTCTGGAAGGCTTCTCTGCTCGCTTTCTCCAGAAAGCCGTTATTTGCTGAGTTTCTGCAGGCTGGCCGATTGAGTTACAGCCCGAAGAATGTTGAACCTGGTTCTCAGCTGCAGGATGTCTTTCCCCAAAGTTCTTGTACTGCTAGGCCTACCCTGAGGATTCACATATGTGTATTGGTTTACAACAACATTAAAGCATCCCCTGAACTCCCCACCCCGCCTGCCCCAGGTGGGTAGATTACTTTTAGGACTATGAAGTAGTGCTCTCACAGGGGTTGGAGCTCAGGGTTGGCCTGCAGTATAAGCCAGTTCCCTTCTGGCTGGTTTCACATACATTTATGGCCTTCTTTTACACCTAATAGGCTTGCTTTGGGTTTTCAGGAAAAAATTCTTCATGCAATTAGGGAGAGATTCTGTGGTCATTTACCATAAAAGGTTGAAAGCTTTAATAATGTAAAACATAAAACAACCCCGGAAAGTAAGCATTAATTGGATCTCTAAGTATTGCATTTGATAAGATATACACAGAGAGTGAAAGATCATAAGCAGAAAAATGACTTGCTGATATTACAATTTGAGGTTATTTTAGTAATGGTGTATAGGATGAAATAGACCAGGAAACAACTTGGAAGGAGGGGCCTCACGTTAGCACATTGCCCTTAGACATTAAGCCTGTAGCAGCTGCAACATCCAAGGTGAGGTTGTGGTTGAGACTGTAGTGAGCGATTTGTATGCAGTTCCTACATCACCACTGTCCCTGTGGACTGCAGTTGGTCCTCTTGCTTGTTAGTGTTCTAGACACATAAGTTTCTTAAAATGCGTGATTTCGTAGTAGAGTCTTATAATTCTACTAGATTTTGTGTGTAGTTTTATGTGTGTGGACTAATACTTCTGTGGGTTTCAGTCTACACATTTGTATTTTATTCTTGTCATTAGAGTTCTGAAATGATGGTTGGCACGAATGAATTCTCATCTCAACTGAAGTGCCAGGATGCCCTTGCTTTCCTTTAACCAGTAGGGAGAGGTAGGAGCCGTGCGGAATTACAAATGGTGGCTTCTGTGAAAGCCTGTTCAAGTGTTGTTCAGAGTTTCAACAACAACAAGAAAATGCTATCCAAGCCATCATTTCCTTTTTTTTTTTTTTATTATGAGTCTCTAGTCATTCTTGATTTTGTGGCAAATTGATGGTCAAGAAGGCCAAGTTTAGCCTACAGTGGTGTCTTGTTTGGACTGCACTGTGAATATCGTTAGGTGGGGACAGGCACTTTCCAGTTGGCCACAGTCCTCACTACTCCTAATGTCCTGGCATATCTTTTTTACCTGCCTGGTGCCCTTGGGTCATTTATTTGCATGGTACACAAACACAAAGTACATTTTCATATTTCTTCCTTAAAGAGAATCAAATAGTAAAGGAGATTTCTATTTGATTTCTATTTTTATTTGTTTCTCCAACTGTCTTAAGACTGTGATATAAAATGAACAATGAGATGCTTAAAAGGTTTGAGAGGAAACAAAATTTCTAACGAATAAGATATAATAAAAAGGCTTCCGCCCAGGATAACATTATTAACCAGCCAGTTAGCCCTTGAGTGTGTGACGTTGATCTTATTGACTGCGCTTAGCAGAGTGGGAAGTTTGTATGTTTCAGGTTTACTGTGTGAACAGTCCTAGTAGTGAATGATTCTGGTTTAACCTTTTTCAGTCTTACTGGAAATATTTTTGCTCCTGCGTTTCCTTTATTCCTCAAATGTTGCTAAATTAACTCAGGCCTTGGAAAGCCCTGAATAGTCATCTCCATTTCACATACTTCTCTTATTTTTTCAATTGGAAGTGTTGATCTCAAGACAAGCTGAAGGCTGAGCCTGGTTGCATTGATCTGATTGATTCTGCCGTGTGCTCTGCTCGGCCTCCATGGAAAGACCATATCGAGTTCGTCCACTGTTGTGAATGAAAATAATCAGTTGGTGAAAGCACAAAATTAGAAACCTCTTGGTATATTTATTTCTGTGTCTCAAGAATTCTGATTTAAAGCAGACTTTATTCCAAGTAATGTGAACAGTAGGTCGTTCAGGAGTCTCGGATGAATCAATGTTTTCTTCCCTCCTCTCCAAGAAAATCTATTTAAAGCAAAGGTCAAATCTGTGCTGGATTTAGAACCTATTAAATGTAAGTCTGGAAAACAGAGCCACTTCTCTTTTTTTTTGTTCTTCACATAGTTTCAAGCACTGGGGACACTCTGGTCTTCTGCAAATCATCATTTCCCACGTATTCCTGGTGTTTGTAACTTTCCTTTTGTTCCAGAGGATGGAGTGTAACCTGTAGTGTATATACTGAGTGAATTTGAGCTCTTTTGAGTCTTGGGCTTATTACATTTAGAAATAATTTAAACCTTGAAAGTTGTCTTGGAGGAGTTTATTAGGCTTTGAATTATACCTGAGAAGAATGTATTAATGTATAGATTAATCAACTCATTTAAATAACCTGCTTACAAATTGACTCCTCCTGCTTGTGGTTCCTCCCCAACCCCTCCTATCCTGTCGCCCTCTGGCCTCCTCCATCTCTATGAAGGCTGATAAGCCATAGTTGGATGTGACAGCCTTAGACACAGCCCCTGCCCAGGCCTCACACTCAGTTACTGAGCCCAGTCCCCTTTGCTTCTGTAAAGGCTTCAGTCCTGCTGCTCCCTCCGTCCAGGCCGATTAGATATATGGGTGTTGGCATAGTCTCTGAACTGGACTCCCTGTTTCCCATCTTTACCTTTTTTATGTCATTCTTCCATTCGGTAAAGATTTGAATATACTTTGCAAGCCAGGCTGTGCCCTCGGCCCTGAATATACAATTGTGAAAGAGTCAGCCAGGAAATCCTGGCCCCTGCAGCTGATTCTCTAGTGGGGAGGGTGGACAGTGAGCAAAATGTGTCAGTAAAAGATGTAGAAGACGGACATGGTACATGCCCCAAGGGAAATAAAGGAGGAAAGGGAAATAAGGAGTTTGCATGGGGAAGTGTAATTTTAAATGGGGGCATTCAGGAGGGCCTCCCTAAGAAGCCACATTGAGGTGGGGTGAGCTGCATGGAAATCTGGGAGAATGGATGCAAGGGAGCAGCAGGTCAGCCTATTAGAAGAAAAGCAGAAAGCTAGTTGGGGCTCTGGCACCAGAGGAGGTCAGAGGGGTGCTGGGCCTCGCTGGCCATCAGAAGGCACTTGGTTCTTATTCAGATGGAGACCAGAAGCTTTGGAGGACTTTGAATGTAGTGACAGGACCTGCCTTCCATGGTAACAGGGTTTCTCTGCTGGGTGGAGGCCCAGGGACAGTTCAGGAGGCTGCTCTGATGGTCCAGGTGAGGGAGGGTGACCCTAGCAGTGGCCAGGTGAGATATGGTCAGGGTCTAGATGCATTTCAGAGGCACAGGTGGCATTGTTTGCTGATTGATTGAATATATGGGGTATGACAGAAAGGAAGAAGAATGATTCTGATATCCTTGGTGTGAGTACCTGGAAGCATGGAGCTGTCCTGGACTGAAAGAGACAGAAGTGATCACTGCTGTGTTTCTCTGGGTGGTGTTCCATAACTATTCCATGCAGGGCCATGCAGGCTTGGGAGGGAGGGAACCAGGAACTCAGTTTGGGGCATGCTATATTTGGGATGCCTGATTGGACTACTGTTTGGGATGAGTTTTGTCCTGTTGGAAATCAGAGAGAATAGGGCTCACAAGGAGCGGATGCGTCACGGGCCTGAGGGGCAGGAACATGATGCAGTGCTCCAAGGAGACCTCTGTCTCCAAACCAGAAACTTATAGCTGCCTTGGTCATCTTTATTCTGACTTTTAATGGGGAGGTGGGTCCAGAGGAAAAAAACAAGCTGTACATGCTCAGTGACAGTGACACTCAGTATCCCAGTATCAGGGAGGCAGTAGACACTGGGAAGCACCTGGCCAAGAGCACGTGTGTTTATTTCTCAGGGGTAACAAGTTCAGTGGGAACATGGGCTCAGAACTCCCTGACACTGTAATGTTTCAAGAGAAGCTAGATAACAGAGTTTTCTTGTGGAATCTCTTGGCTTTTAAATTTTGGCTTAAAAATATTTCTTTTAATGTGATGAACAGTTAACCTCTTGTCAACCTACTGGTTGTATTTCCTGGCCACTCAAATTCGCCATCAGGACCTTTTGTGCACTGAAGTACAAACTGGTCTACTTCCACCCTCAGGTAAGTCTCAGTCTTCTTGACTGCGGCTCTGAATGCCCAGGATTCTGATGGAATCCTGCTTCCTAAACCCTGCTTGGTTTTCATCCACGGCTCTTAACAGCTCATGACACCGCGTTCTGTTTTTATTTGTGTAGTGTCTGTCCCCTCACTAATGTGTAAGCCCATTGAGAGCTGGGCCTTTGGAGTTTTGTGCACAGCTGTGTTCCTGTAGTCGATGTTTCATGACTGCTTACTGACTGTATGAATGGCCCACCAAGCTAACATCTCAAATACTTTCCAAAATGTCATCAGAAGGCCCTTGTCACGGCCCCAAAGAAGAAGGGAGTCGTGGAGCAGAGGAGAGCACATGGCCCACAGCGGCCATGAGCAGAGTGCTCTGGCCGGGGTCAGGAGTTCAGGAGGCAGCAGATAGTCCCCAAACAAGGGGTGGCAAGCATTTCTTCAGCACCTGCTGTTTGCTAGGTGATTGGTTTGTTTGCTTTTTTCACCCAGTGGGAGCAGTAAGGAAATGACCCAGGTGATCTCTTTTTCCATTCTTCAGCCAACATTGATTGAAAGGTTATATGATCCACAAAGAGCAAGTGACAGCTGCCGGATGTTCATTTGAAATTTACAGACACTAATGGGGGCATAGTGGTGGAAGTGACTCTCATCAGGCTGTCCAGGCACAGCAGTGTCCCTAGAGAGCAGCTCTCAGTGTTCCAGGGCCTAGAGAAGCTTCCTGATCCCCCACATCCCAGCAGGCCTTCCCACTGCCATCGAGGGGAGCAGTAGGCAGCTCTTAAACGAAAGAGCCAGCTCTCTCTCCATGGCGTTGATATTCAGTGACTTCTGATCTGCGGTCACTTGGTCCCCACCCCTCCCCAGTTCCTTACTTGTTGCTTTCTTAGAGATTGGCTCCTTTTTCTGCTGGCCACATGCCTATTACTTATTCCCATTTCCTCTCTGGTCCTCTCACCATTCACCGAGCACTGTTTATTCTTTTTAGTAAATACACTTCCTGGTTTTGTCTGTTATCACAGGCAGAGGTGATACCACAGGCAGAGGTTAGGCTCCCAGCATTCTAAGCCTCCTTAACTGGCTGGGTCCTTGTTCCAGTCCATCTTCCATACTGTGGTGGGTGATCTACAAATAAAAATTCAAGTATGCTATTTCTATCCATACAAACCTTCACAAGCTCCCTGTAGACTCTGGGATGAAGTCCAAGTGCTTCCTCCCAGCCTGCCAGAGTCCCCACCCTCCAGCACCTTCCTGACACGAGACTGTGGCTCACCATACTTTACAGGCCTGGGATACTCACTGCCCCAACAGCCAGACATGCGGTGATCTTTGGCTGTTTTCGTGCTGTTGTGTGGCTGTTTTGTGCTGTTGTGTCGCTGTTTCATTCTGAAACTCTTGGGCCTCTAGGATCCTGTGCACATTATAGGCCTTTCCTGCCTAAGAGTTAATTACAGGATTTTGTTTCTTGCTCTGTATTTCAGTGTTAACATCTGTCTCCATGACCTTCCCTCCTTGCCAGTCTGTGTAAAATAAAGAATGGTGAGGAGAGCCCCAACCTGCCCCAAAGCCCACCCTCACGCACCCTAGTTCGTTACGGGTTCTACACAGCCGGAAGCCTTTCGGCCAGGTGTGTGTGTCAGGGAGAAGATAAGACTTCTTCCTCACTGTATCTGCAGTGCTGAGGCCACCGTGGAAATGAGATGTTTTCTACATTTTTTGCTTATTTTTTTCACTTACTGATTTTTAAAGTTTATGTATAATAGAGTGCGCCACTGCCATTACCAACTGGAGACTCTCATGTAGAAAGTATTTCCAATTTTAAATGTGGTAACGGTGTCCTATGTGAGCATGAGATATTTTCCTGATATAGCAGAGGATTTGTAGACAGCTGTTCTTTTCTCTCATATAACTCTGTCTGTACTCCCCAGCGCCTGCTGATTCAGGGAGTCCTAAGAAGGTCCTGCTGGCAGGGCTTTCAAGAACCACGCCCTGTGGGCTAACCTGCAGCCTGGGAGCCTGTGGGGGACAGCCCAGCTTCGGCCCTTTCTGTCTGGTGCCTTTGCTTCAGCAGGTTCCAAATGTGAGCCTGTGCTCCCATTTTCGTCCTATGGCTATGATCTTCACTGCCAGTTTGCACAGCCTGCAGCTGCCACACATGCATTTAGAATATTTTTAAATGATCTTCCTTCACTATTTCTCTTTCAGAAATTTGTCACTGTTTTCATTTGCTGTTTGCACAAGACTAAATACAGCCTGGGCACATTATAATTTTTCTAAGAGTCAAAGGGACTTTAGAGACAGTAAGTGTGGTGGCTGTGTCTTCAAAATATTGAAGTTTTAAGTTTAAATCTCCAAGAGTCAGGAAGTTAAATAATTAAGTTGAGATTACCATGTTCATTTTCTTATACAGCATCTGTGAGGTTTGCTTTAAAAGTTTTAGCACGTGTTTTAAGAAACTGGTTTTGTCTTAAAGCAGATAAGTAGTTCAAAAATTGTAATGACTATACCGCTTATGTGCTGCCTATGCTGACAGAACATATATTAACATTTGTCGCTGTAAGCCAAATAAAGATCTTAATGAGATTAATAACCCTTTATCTTCCTTTGGTAAAATTTACCTGATATACTTAATGACATAGTTCATTAAAAACGCTCTTTGTAAACTTAAGTTGTCTAGAAAATAATTTATCTGGTAGTTTCATTTTTCATTTGTAAATGTAATCTCCATTGTGCTCAGTTTGGGCCCTTTATAATTTTTCCAATTATCAAGGGGACTTTAGAAATAGTAAGCAGAATAGCTATATCATTATTTGTTAAAGTTGAAAATGTTAATCCCCAAAGGTCGGGCAATTAAGCTAAGGTTATTATGTTCATAGTAAAACTATTCCTAGTTGGAGTGATGATATTAAATGTGGCATTGATTCATTGTGTCCCTCAAGTACACAGTGACTTCTAGAGATCCACTCTGGGCAAATGGTGTGACAAGCAACTGTTCCGTGGGATTATGGAGGTCATTTTATACATAGCTGAGTGGTGGCTTGCAAATGCTGATTTCACATTCTTCTTGTAGGAAGATCACACTTTGAAATAATTTTCTTTTAGGAAAAAAAAACATCTATTTTGAGGAGAATTCCATGTTTTAAAAAATTACAAAAAGAATCCACAGTCAAGTAGTAAATGCTTCTTAAAACATATACATTATTTTTGAGAGATTTAACAGTATTCAAGAATCTGTTTGTTTAGCAAATAAAAGGATTCCTGGTACTAAAATAAAAATCTAGTTTGGGGGAAAAATAAATTAAGCATATTAGGGTTGCTATTTAATATCTTTTGAGAAATGAAAACAGTAAATATTTTCAGAGTTTTTTTTTTTTTAACCTCGATTTGAGCCCTGTCACAACTGTTAGTTAAATTTTCTTTCAGTAAATAGTAGTAATTAATAGTGTTCAGACTTTCTGGGCTCTGGAGCCTGAGTGCATAAATAGTCTCTTTCTTACAAATGATACTTGATCATTAACAGCATGGCCAGTTTTCTCTTATGCATCTCACTTCCTAAATCTGTCCTCTAACACTGCATGGGATGCTTTTTCAGGAAAACGTGGGTTTTTAAGAAATTTGTGACTTTTTTTTTTTTGAAAGGAAGAAACTAAAATTAGAGTATCTCAGCTACCCTGCAAGAGAGCTTCTTAGACAAGGCAAGCCCATGCACACACAGTGTGTCCCTGGTATTCTTGAATGATCCCACGGTGTATGTCTTGAAATCTCAGCAAACAGAAATTCAGTTCATTCATTAAGCATTAGAAGGTCTTCAACACACCATTGGTTATTTGGGAAATGCAAATTAAAATTACTAAATCTAATACTACGCACCCACTGGAAGGCTAAAATTAAGGAGACTGAGCATGCAGGTGTTTGTGAGCATGAAGAATAGTGGCAGAGCTCACCTGTGAGCTCACCTGGGAACCCACAGTGACTCAGGCACTTTGGAAAACAGTCTTACAGTTTCTGGAAGGTTAAACATGCACTTGCTCTGTTTGTGCCTGTATGTGTGGTATGACTGGGTAACTCCAATCTTAGATTTCTACCTAAGAGTAATATAAACGTAAGTCTACACAGAGACCAGTCACACAGATTCATAGAAGAATTATTCATAATATCCTCAAAGTGGAAACAATCCAAATGTCCAATAATAGGTGAACACCTAAACAAATTGTGCTGTGTTCATACATTGGAATACTGCTTGGCAACAGAAATAATAAAGTATTGACATGTGCATTAATATTAGATGAATCTGAAAGCATCAGGCTAGGTGAATAGGCCAAACAGAAGAGACTGCAAACTATGATTCTGTTTATATAACATTCTAGAAGAGGCCAAACTGTAGTAAAAAGAGGTAGATGAAAGGTCAGCAGGGCCTGGAGTGAGGGAAGGGACTTGTCTGCAGCATGGAAGGAGGGAACTTTGGGGATGATGAAAGTGTTCTGTATCTTGATTGTGGCCGGGGTTACCTGACTCTGTACCTTTGGCAAAACTTGCTGCTGAATCCTACGCTTAAAATGGGTCAGCTTTATTGTATGTCAGTTAATAAAGCTGATTAACAAAAGAGTATTTCTGTAGAGGCTTACATGCTAGTGTGAATGTGTGAATTCAATAAATTGGGTTGGCTTATTCTGAGAAGGATAAAAGTTTTTTGTTTTTCGTTTTTTGGAAATAGAAACATTTTGTGGGAGGTAGGGATGGCCAGTGTAGAGAAATATGTCATGGGGTAAGTGGGAAAAGATAACCTGAGGGTACCAGACTGGCACCTGGGTGCTTGCAGGTGAGAAGCCAAACATCTCTTGAAAATGTTTGCTTAATGCCTGTGAGATATCATCCTGTCTTCCTTTGAATTATTAGTATTATAGGTAGTCCTTGAAATGTTATACATTTAACAGAAATTTCTCTTATCTACTTATGGACTTTAAATTTAGGGATATTCCTAGATTGGAAGAAGGCAATATTCAGAGCAAAAAGGTACAAGCTTTACTTGCCACCAGCAGCTGCCAGAGTGGAGGCCTTATGTAATTACTTCGGCTTCAGCCTTGGCAGCTTTTGTTAGCCCAAAGTGGATTTGCTATATTTGTGCTTTGAATTTTACCGTTTACACTCATTAAGTTCTATAAATACAAAAGCATGGAGAGCATTAGTGCTGTCAAGAAAGAGGTGTGATTATGTTGGAAATGAACATGATAGTAAAAAGAATATGAAAGTGGCAGGGAAATGGTGACTGCAGCTGCACTGGGTGTGAGAGGCTGGGCAGGGAACGATCTGAAGAATGGGGGAGGGCGATGGTGAGAAAAGACACAGCTGATGGTCGACAGGGGACAGGAGAAAGAGATTCACGGAGGGGAAGAAAAAGCATTGAATGTGTGGGATAAAGAAAGAGCATTATCATTAGCTACTCACTAGCCCAATTAATGCAGGAGAAGGGAGTCTGCTCTGGAACTCGAAGGCTAAGCATGGTGTGGTTGAAGTGCTGCTAGTGAAACCTGAACCATCTGCTTTGGGCATGGTCAGCTCTGAGCCCACTGGAATTTGCAGGACATCAAAGTGAGGGCTGCAGCAGCTGCTGCTCCATGGCATCTAGGAAATCCCTCGTGGCCCTGCCGAGCTGACGGAGGAAGAGGGCTCCTACCCGTGCAGATTTCAGTGGTGCTGGAACCATTCATTTTTGAAGAGAGACTCTTGCCATCTGCAAATCGGTAGAAATGCATCCAGGTTCTAGAAGTTTTCATCTCTCCTGGCTTGTTTATTAACTCCAAAGTGATTAACAGTGGAACCACCTTTTGAATCCTGGGTACTCCTAGGTTGAGCAGGGCTGCACTTCCACCGTCTTTCAGGGTTCACCAGATGAAACTCTGAGGATCCTCTATGAATCAGCAGACACACAACATCTCCTGAGATTATAAGGTGGTACTGTCTGTGGTGATTACCTAATTTTAATTTATAAACTGGGAATGCAAAGGCCATGCTGACCTTGCTAAGAAATGTGAAGTTCACAGGAGAACAAAACTGGGGAAAAAGGTAGGGGACAGTCGTCAGTAGCAGTCACTCACTTTCGACATTAAATTATGCGTTTGTTTAATTGTGAAGGAAAATACAATTGTAGAACATGCACCAAAAGCTAGAAATATACAGTTTAATGTTAACACCTAAAAGCAAAATACTAATTAAAGATTTTGGAATATTTTTTATCTTTCTGGGTATGAAACCTCCAGCCCTGACTTTTTATGCCCCTTATAACAGCTAAGTCCATTGTAACTTTCAGTAATTGGCTTTTTATTAAAATAAGAGACTGTAGTATAAATTTTAGCAACTGGACTAAATAGGCATTAACTGGCCCTGGGATCCAACCATAATTTGTAACATCGTTCCTCTGGGAAAATGGATTCTAAGTGCCCAATAACTACCTTACAAATAGACTCTTGAATCATAGTCCATTTGAGAATAAGGAACTGTTTGTGATAGTAATACCTTCAATTGGCTCGCTTGAGAACTGCACAGAAGGGACCTATGTTCCACCACATGTGTGTGGTGAACCCAGCTCGTCTGGGTTTGATCAAAGATTATTGCCGAGTGGGCATGGAAAGTGCAGGAATTAAACTCAAAGTAGAGGCTGGAGACACGTCAAGGGTGGCGTTAGAAGGATGGACCTGGAGGGCTCTTAGTGGTAGGAAGAGGATTTCAATCCCAGAGGCAAAGGAGTGTATCTGAGCAGATGAAGGGCAGGGAGAAGAGAATGGAAGAGTAAGCAGGATTGAGATTGAGAACCAGCCATTTTCAAGCAAAATGTAACTCAAAGTGTACCAGTAAGGCTGAATAGCCCACCAAGAGGTCAGAGAGAGACATCCCTCAGATCTCTCTGTCTCTCTCTCTCTCTCTGTTTTATTTATTTTTATTTTATTTATTTATTTTGTCTGTCACCCAGGTTGGAGTGCAGTGGCACGATCTTGGCTCACTGCAACCTCTGCCTCCCAGGTTCAAGTGATTCTCCCACCTCAGCCTCCCAAGTAGTTGGAAATACAAGGGTGTGCCACCACACTTTTCTAATTTTTGGGTTTTTGTTGTTGTTGTCTGGAGATGGAGTCTTGCTCTGTTGCCCATTTGGAATGCAGTGGCACGATCTTGACTCACTGCAACCTCTACCTCCTGGGTTCAAGTAATTCTCCTGCCTCAGCCTCCCAAGTGGCTGGGATTACAGGCGTGCACCACCACGCACATCTAATTTTTTTGTATTTTTTGTATTTTTAGTAGAGACTGGGTTTTACCACATTGGCCAAGCTAGTCCCTCTCCTCCTCCTGCCAAGGAAGAAGAACCATGTATTGGCATCCAGTCTATCCTCATGTGTGCTGCAGAAATAACCCTAACTGGAGAAAGCTGCCTTCCTAAGATGAGCACCTATGTCTCCATTTATGCTGTGCCCTCTTACAAAAAGCCACAGGCAATGGGCTCCACATTTCAGAGATTTTTATTCCTCACTCTTTCCCTCCTTGGATCCACGCATAAGTCCAGTGGGGAGGCCCATGGGACTTGGCACTGAGCTAGACTGGGCCTCTACTGTAGCACCTGGATGCTCTCCCTGGGCCAAATCTGTGTACCTTGTCTCATCTCTTTGGTGACGTGCTTCTCAAGAGGTTTTTCTGTCCTTCATACACTGACCCCCGGCAGGCACCCCTCTAGAATTTCCCAGACTTACCTGAATTTCCTGGTGAACACACCCAGGCTGCCAAGCTGGCATTTCCCCAGGTCAGGGTAATTTTTTTCTCTCTACCCAAATTCTAAAGGGCAGGCTGTTGTTTTAGATAAGGAAGGCATAGATGTTTTCAGGATGCTTGTTTGAGATTCAGAATTACAAAGCTAATTGACAATAAAAAGTATAAAGTTTATTTATTTTAGAGACAGGCTGTTGCTGGACTGCAGTGGCATGATTATAGCTCACTAAAGCCTCCAATTCCTGGGTTCAAGCGATCTTTGCACCTCACCCTTCTGAGTAGCTGGGACTACAGGCATGCACCATCATGCCTGGCCAATTATGTGCCTATATGTCCCTTTTTTTCTAGGGACAGAGTCTCACTCTGTTGTTTAGGCTGGTCTTGAACTCCTGGCCTCAGGTGATCCTCCCTCTTTGGCAAAAGTGCTGGGATTACAGGCATGAGCCACCATGACTGGCTTCTTTGTTTTTAATAAAAGTCCATTTAACTTTTATGCATAGAACATTATTCTATTAATGTTTCGTCTATTGCAGGCATACCTCAGAGATATTGCAGATTTGGGACCAGTCCATAGCAATAAAGCAAATACTGTAATAAAGCAAGTCACACTATCTTTTTTTTTTTTTGGTTTTCCAGTGCATATAAAAGTTATGTTTACACGGTACTGTACTCTATTAAGTGTGCAACAGCATCACATCTTTAAAAAACCCAATGTGTGTGCCTTAATTTAAAAATACTTTTTACTAAAATACGCTAACAATCGCCTAAGCCTTCAGCAAGTCATAATCTTTTTGTTGGTGGAGGGTCTTGCCATGACATTCATGGCTGCTGGCTGATCAAGGTGGTGGTTGCTGAAGGTTGGGGTGGTTTTGGCAATTTCTCAAAATAAGACAACAATAAAGTTTGCTGCATCTGTTGACTCTACTTTTCACAAAAGATTTATCCATGGCATGTGATGCCGTTTGATAGCATTTACCCACAGTAGAACTTCCTTCAAAATTGGAATCAATTATCCCAAACACTGCTGCTGCTTTATCAACTAAGTTTATGTCATGTGCTAAATCCTTTGTTGTCATTTCAAGAATGTTCACGGCGTGTTCACCAGGTGTAGATTCCACCTCAAGAAACCACTTTCTTTGCCCATCCATAAGAAGCAACTCCTCGTTTATTCAAGTTTGATCATGAGATTGCAGCACATTGTCACATCTTCAGGCTTCACTTCTAATTCTAGTTCTCCCGTTGCTTCTACCACATCTTCAGTTACTTCCTCCACTGAAGTCTCAAACTTTTCAAAGTTATGCATGAGGGTTGAAATCAACTTCTTCCAAACTCCTCTTCATGTTGATCTTTTGACCTCCTCCCATGAATCATAGGTGTTCTTAGTGACATCTAAAATGGTGAATCCTTGCTGAAAGGTTTTCAATTTACTTTGCCCAGACCCATCAGAGGAATTGCTGTCTATGGTAGTATGAAATCTATTTCTTAAATAATAAGACTTAAACTCTAAATGACTCCTTGATCCATGGGCTGCAGAATGGATATTAGATAAACATGCATGAAAACAACATTCATTCATCAACGATGTCTCTATCAGAGCTTTGGGTGGCCCAGTGCATTGTTAGTGAGCAGTAATATTTTGAAAGGAGTCTTTTGTTCTGAGCAGTAGGTCTTAACAGTGGGCTTAATGTTCGGTAAACCATTCTATAAACAGATGTGGTGTTAGCCAGGCTTTGTTTTTCCATTTCTAAGAATTGATTTAGCATAAATTTTCAGAACGGTAAATGAGCATTGGCTTCAACTTCAAGTCACCAACTTCATTAGCCTCTAACAAGAGTCAGCCTATCCTTTGACACTTTAAAGCTTGGGATTGACTTCTCCTCTCTAGCTATGAAAATCCTAGATGGCATCTTCTTTTAATAGACGGCTGTTTCATCTACATTGAAAATCTGTTATTCAGTGAAGCCACCTTCATCAATTATCTTAGCTAGACCTTCTGGCGAACTTGCTGCAGCTTCCTCGTCAGCGCTTACTGCCTCACCTGGCACTTTTATGTTATGGAGACAGCTCCTTTTTTAAACCTCATAAACCAATATCTGCTAAGGCTCAGACTTAACACAGCTCCCTCACCTCTCTCAGCCTTCACAGAATTGAAAAGAGTTAGGGTCTTGCTCTGGATTAGGCTTTGATTTAAGGGAATGTTGTGGTTCCAGACCACTTTCTCCATACCAGCAATAAGGCAGTTTTGCTTTCTTATCATTTGTGTGTTTACTGGAGTAGCTCTTTTAATTTCCTTCAAGAACTTTTCCTATGCATTCACGACTTGGCTAACTGGTGCAAGAGGCCTAGCTTTTGGCCTATCTTCTTTTGACATGGTGCACCATGCTTTTGACATGGTGTACCAAAACAATTTCAATAGTAACATCAAAGGTCACTGATGACAGATTACCATAACAGATATAATCATGAGAAAGAAGTTTAAAATATTGCAAGAATTACCAAAATGTGACACAGAGGCACGAAGTGAGCCGGTGCTGTTGGATAAATGGTGCTGATCGACTTGCTTGACTCAGGGTTGCTAGAAATCTTCAATTTGTAAGAAATGCAATTGTCTTTGAAGCACAATAAAGTGAAGCACAATAAAATGAGGTGTGCCTGTATTATATTAACAAAGAAGGCATTGCTAATGATGGCATGTATTCACTGCCTGAAGTAGAAGAGATGTGTATTTTCCTTGATAGGGAAAATTCTTTTGTTGTTGTTGTTGTTGTTGTTGTTTTTGAGACGGAGCCTCACTCTGTCATCCAAGCTGGAATGCAGTGGTGCAATCTCGGCTCACTGCAACCTCCACCTCCCAGGTTCAATTGATTCTCCTGCCTCAGACTCCTGAGTAGCTGGGATTACAGGTGCGTGCCACCACAGCCCGACTAATTTTTGTATTTTTAGTACAGATGGGTTTTCGTCATGTTGGCCAGGCTAGTCTTGAATTCTTGACCTCAAGTGATCCACCTGCCTCGGCCTCCCAGAGTGCTGGGATTATAGGCGTGAGCCACTGCACCTGGCCCAGATAGGGGAAATTCTTGATGAATAAATAGTAAGAGGAAGAAGAATGGGTTTTACTGAGTGTTTGCTGTATGCCAAGTCCCGTGCTAAATAATTTACGTTGATTAGTTTATTTGTTCATAAGAAAAGTGCTATGAAGTTTTTAGCTCCTTTTTACACATAAGAAAATGGCAATTTAAAGAGGCTAAGTGTCTTGCTGAAGGTCACAGAGGTAACAAGTAGAGAGCTTGGACTAGAACCCAGGTCATCTGACCACAATGCAGGGCTCTAGACTACATCTTTCTTAAATAAATCTTTATGAAATTGTCAAAAGTCACTTTTTGAGAATAAACACTGAACAATAAGACAGTTTTCTGGAACCTGTTTCTCACTTTTTAATAGTAGCTGATCCTCAATTTTACTAGAGGTAGAAGGATTCTTGTTAATTAAACATATTTCTTTAAGATTGCAATTTACCTTATCATATAATAAATTGCATATGAATGTTACTTAATAGTCGTCTTCCAGACAGAATAATTTCAGCAGAATTCTGTGCTTCCCAATTAACTTAAACCATATTTTTTATGAGCCCAAAATTACATTCTTATATTTGAGTGAGATATCCTGTTCATAGTCATAAATTCACTGTGAAAACAAGAACGTCTGTTTTTTTTTTTTTTTTAAAGAAACAGGGTCTCACTGTGTTGTCCAGTCTGGAGTGGTGTGCTCAGTGTTCACTACAGCGTCAACTTTCCAGGATCAAGCGATCCTCCCACCTCAGCCTCCAGAGTAGCTGCGACTACAGACATGCAGCAGACACACACCACCATGCCTGGATAATTTTTTAGTTTTTTCGTAGAGACGGGGTTTCTCTATGTTACTGAGGCTGGTCTTGAACTCCTGGGCTCAAGCAGTCCCTCCTGTCTCGGCCTCCTAAAGTGCTGGGATTACAGGCGTGAACCACCGTGCCCAGCCCACTTTTTTTTTAAATCTAAAAAATGTTATTGTGCTTTAATTCCATGTGATAATGGACATTACACCAAGATGCTTTTAAGGCTGGTAGTAGTGTTTTGGTAGGTGTTGGCAGTTTAACTTGATTAGATACTTTCTATAACATGGGAAAAATGATCAGCTTATTTCTTACGCTGGCAATGCATGGAGAGAATGGTTTAATCTGAAGATCTCAGCAGGATTCAAAATTAATATTTTGTCATATTTTTATCTTTTGGATGCTTTAAAGATTATCTTATGCAAACTGAGAAATGTTAGTGTTTGCCATTCAAGTTCCAATAATGCTATCTTTCCCCAAAAAGCACATTTGTTTATATGGAGTTTTCTATTCTAGGGGCACCAAGAATAATGTGTATGTAGTGTAAAGAAGTGGATTATTGTAAATTTCTAACAGATCTCACTATGAAGATGTTTGTACCCATAAAACAGACCCAGAGGGCATTGCATTGAAATTTTAATGTATAAATGTGCAAAGCTGAACTGATAGTATATTTATATTAGAATGGGTGTGTTCTCATTTCAAGAAACTTAATTTTGAATTCTATTTTGTTTTTGATATTAAACACACAAAAAATGTGATTTTCCCCTATACTCTTGTTTCAGGCCACAAGGGCAGCCATTACTCAGCACTGCACTGACCTTGGGAATTTGCTGGGCAAGGAAAATGACGTGGCCCTGATCATCGATGGCCACACCCTGAAGTACGCGCTCTCCTTCGAAGTCCGGAGGAGTTTCCTGGATTTGGCACTCTCGTGCAAAGCGGTCATATGCTGCAGGTAGGAACCTGCAGGCTGTGCACAGTTCACACTCTGCTGTGTCTGTATCCCGTGCTTATACAAAAGAAAGGGATGCATGGGAATTCTAGGTTTAAAGTTTTGTATCTAAAAAAGGCAAAACAAAAATACAAATTTATTTTTAACTGTTGGTGCACAGATTTTGCAGAGGCAGTTAGTGGTTTTTACATTTTTGTTTTGTTTATTGTCTTCTGAGAAGATAAAAAGAGTAAGAACCAGGGCTTCCAGTCACATTCACCATGGGGGATAAATTGGAAAAACACTGCCTCAAGCCCCTTTGAGAAATTACTGGGGTCCAACCTACTGCACATGTCTGAGCTCAACTTCCAAGATGTGTGGGGCTTTGATGCTTCTTTTCTGGCGTTTGTTGGGGTATTTCTTTTCAGTTAAGGAGGAGCTTTGGTCGGGTTCATGTGATAGCAATTTTTGTGGTAAAATCTAACCAGAAATCTTTGTAGGTTCTTCCCTTCCTGGGAAGGTTTTTTTTTTTCAGTTGGCAGTGGTGGGGGATTGTTACATTCCATTGGCTGCTGGCTATGTGGAGGTCTAGTTCTGATAGAAATTTGAAAGTCAGACAGAATTATAAAGACAGTAAACCACTAGAAAGATGAGTGGTCACCAAAGGTCACAGAGAGCTGGAGGGGCTGGCTAGTGGAGCATCAGTAGTGGAAAGGCATGTCAGTTTTATGCCTATGGTCACAGGATATTCAGGGACCATGGGGATGAGGACAAATTCAAATGTGTTTGAAACAATGAGTGACAAGTCTGTTGTACCTTTAAGTCAGGAAACCTGGTGCAGCTGTGGGGGACCTGGTGCAGGGAGCAATGGCCAGAGCACCTTGAAATACACTGCTTCTGGGTTTTATGATGGCCTCCTTCTCTTTTCCTCGAATAGCTTGATTGTGATACAATTCACATACCATACAGTTCACCTATTGAAAGCAATTCATTGCCTTTGAGTATATTCACAAAATTATGTAACCATCATCACAACCAATTTTAGAATATTTTCATCACCCCGTAAAGAAACTCCTGTATCCATTATCAGTTAATCCCATCTTCCTGCACGCCTTCACCCCCATCCCAAACAACCAATCATCTACTCACTTGTCTCTCTAATTAGCCTGTTCTTTTTCTGACTTCTCTCCATCCCTGTTGTTTCATGTGTCAGTACTTCCTTCTTTTTATGGCTGAGTAATATTCCATTGTTTAGATGTAACACATGTTTATCCATTTCTCAATGTATGAGAATTTGGGTTTTTTACCCTTTTTGACTGTTACGTGTAATGCTACTGTGAAGATTGATGTACAAGCTTCTGTTTGGACGTAGGTTTTCGACTCCTCTGGGTACGTGCCTAGAAATGGAGTTGCTGGGTCATGCAGTAACTCCATGTTTAACCTTTTGAGGAACTGCGAGATGGTTTTCCAAAGTGGCTGCACCATTTCTGTTCCCACTGGCAATATGTGATTGTTTCAGTTCCTCCATATCCATGCTAACACTTGTCGCTAGCTATCTTTTTGATTAGTTAGGATGTGAAGTGGTATCGCATTGTCCTTTTGGTTTGAATTTTTCTGTTGATTAATGATGTTGATCGTTTTTTCATGTGTTTATTGGCCATCTGTATATCTTCTTTGGAGAAATGTCTATTCAAATCCTTTGCCCATTTTTAAGTTGGATTATCTTTTTATTATTGAGGTATAAGGGTTCTTTAGCTACTCTGGATACAAGTATCTCATCAGATAGATGATTTGCAGTTTTTCCCCTTTTAGGTTACCTTTTCACTTTCCTGATAGTATTACTTGCAGCAAAATTATTTTGACAAAGGCCAGTTTATCTATCTTTTTCTTTTGTGCTTTTGGTGTCATAGCTAATGAGCTCTCTTTTTAAAGTAGCTGATCCTGTGCTTTCTTTCCTGGGTTCTATTTGAGCAGTTTAGATTAGGGCTATGCAAATGGAAAACAGGATGGAAAGAATGGTGGGGAAATACTTTTATTCATAAATTTCCCTTTGTTTCTACATTGTAAAGCTGCTGAGTAGGTGGGTACCTGATTTTATGAATTTCTCCACACTGGAGGTTGTTACTGCTCTACCTCAGAGCCGTGAGTCATGGGAGTCAGCCACTTCTGCCTGCCACTGCCCTGTTGATCAAGGGGTCATCCCCCTGACTCGCTGGTGGACAAAAACAAGTAACAACGTGGAAAAGTCTGGTAAACTGTAACCCAATGCAAACACCCTAAAACCTTATAAGTTTTTAAGAGGGAAATCAAAATGAGTCCGTTGGATTCTCAGGGGAGATCCAGGAATGCCTGTAAGGGTTTACAGGAACATGTTCTTTTCTTGCCAGGTGCTTGATACTAAAACACACACACACACACACACACACACACACACACACACACACACTTTTTTCCCCTTCTTGCTGTGACTGCTTCACAGTGCTTTGTGTGTCTCATAGGCCATATACTTGAAGACTTCAAAGGGGAGTTCAAACTGGAATTGGCACAGAAAGAGGAAATTTCAAATTAAATACTGTTACAGTCTACAAAATGGAAGCATTAATTGAAAAAGGGAATTTAGGATAGTGCATCATTTTCCTGCTCTTGGAGACATTTCTTGGCTGATCTCATACTTAAGATTTTAAAAAAATCAACATGTACTTAAAAAAAAGAAAAAAGCACTTGTACACTTCAGATGTACTTACTATTCATTGAAAATTTAAACTTAAGCTAAATTTAATATGTGGCTTCAAACATAAAGTTGACCTTAATTTTCACTTTTCATCTTCAAAATATAATAGTTGTGAGAGTTACCTATTTCTCTAATAATGAAAGAAGTAATTTTTTTTCAGAAAATAACTGGTCTATGAAATCATGAAGCATGTTCCTATCAATATTGATTCAGAAATTGGTGATGTTGTATAGAAATAAATACCTTTAAACTAAAACAGTACTTTAGGCAGCAAAAAGAAGGGAATGCAAGAATTTATTAAATATTTTGCTGAAATTAGAATCAAACAATTTGCTAATTATGCATTTCTGTACCCGAATATTTTCCATATGGTTAAAATCCTAGAGAGGGCATATATAGTCAGCACTCCAGTATAATTTACTTTGTATCTGGCAGGGGTGTTGCCATGTAATTAGTTGAAGTGTAAACTGGTCCAGTCCAAGGTTTTTATTGTGGGCTTGCAAGTATTGTGACATTTACATTGCAAATTCCTAGTGTCATGGATGAATAAGGAGAGGAGACGTGGCCTTTGGTGTAGAAGTGCAAATAGTGAATAAGAGACTATGTTATTGTATTTGCCTCTATTCCTTTGCATCTCACATACATCCCAATTCCTTGAAACCCAGCCCTTAGTGAAGAAGGCATAGCTGGGTCTCCATCTGGCCACATGCAGCAGACTCCCTTTTGTGCTTGATTTTCAGATCCTTTCAGCATCTGGTGTTGAGGGCTCTTCCCTTGAGGGGTTCTCTTTTTCTTCTGTGGCACCTTTCTCTTCTCCTTAAGTTATCTGTCTCCTTTATGGGCTTTCTGGCTGCCTGTGAAGTGTTGTTTTCCCAAGGTTTTACCTCTGGTCCTATCGTATTCCCACTCCACATCTCCCCGTGTGCCTTCCATTTAATGTGTCGGATGGCCTCATTCATCTTATACATTAGTGACTTCTCACAACACCAGCTTCATATGGAATCATCTGGAGAACTTTTTTGTTGTTGTTTTTGTTTGTTTGTTTTGAGACAGAGACTCGCTCTGTTGCCAGGCTGGAGTGCAGTGGCGCTATCTCAGCCCACTGCAACCTCTACCTCCCAGGTTCAAGCAATTCTCCTGCCTCGGCCTCCCAAATAGCTGGGACTACAGGCGCACACCACTATGCCCAACTAATTTTTGTATTTTTAGTAGAGACAGGATTTCACCATGTTGGCCAGGATGGTCTCGATCTCTTGACCTTGTGATCTGCCCACCTCGGCCTCCCAAAGTGATGGGATTACAGGCATGAGCCACTGCACCTGGCTGAGAACTTTTTAAAAACATATTTTCCTCAAAAAGCTAAATCTGGAAAGTACCATATGACCCAGAAATTGCACTCTTAGGTAGGTATACACCCAAAAGAATTAAAAACAGGCACTCAAACAAATACTTGTATGTGCATGTCCATAATGTTCATAGCAGCACGGCCCACAGTAGCCTCAAATTGGAAAACAACCCACATATGAATCCATACGGTGGAATATTATTGAGCCATAAAAAAAAATAAAGTAGTGACATGTGCTACAATGTGGATGCAGCTTGAAAACAGGCTGAATGAAAGAAGCCAGTCACAAAAGACCACATATTATATGATTCCATTCCTATCATATACTCAGAATAGGCAAATCCACAGAGCCAGGAAGCAGGCTAGTGGTTGCCAGCGGTTGGGAGGAGGAAGAATGGCCAGTGACTGCTCAGTGGGCATGGGATTTCCTTTTGAGGATGATGAAGTGTTTTTGAACAGGCTACAGGGGATAATTGTACAACATTGTGACCATACTAAATTCCACTCAATTGAAAATGGTCAATTTTATCTTATGTGATTTCTACCTCAGTAAAATATAAATAAATGAATAAAAGAATTCATCCATTTAAATGAAATGTTTGTTGAATTAAAAAACTGATATGTTTGAATGAAAGTTCACTCATTTGAATGAAATGTTTGTTGATTATAAAAAATGAATCCTTTGAGCAGAAGTTTTGTTAGTTTAAATGAAATGTTTGTGGAAAGAAAAATAAAGAGTCTGATTCCCAGGCCCTTCCTCAGAGCAATAAAATCAGAACTCTAGAAATTCTACAAAC
Organism: Homo sapiens; assembly: GCF_000001405.40. Taxonomy (NCBI): domain Eukaryota; kingdom Metazoa; phylum Chordata; class Mammalia; order Primates; family Hominidae; genus Homo; species Homo sapiens. Next base: position 128,473 of record NT_187593.1, on the reverse strand, counting down.
TCCCCGTGGCACCTCTCTTCTCCTTAGTTACCTGTTGATTCTAAACAGCAGTCAGGGTTGAGAAGACAACTTCTGCCATCTGCTTGTCCAGCGTGGCCCCTCACTTCAGCTCCAGTTTCTGTACATCCAACCACATCTAGGACTTTTTTTTTTTTTTTTGAGGCAGTCTTGCTCTGTCACCTAGTCTGGAGTGCAGTGCCATGAACACAAACACAGCTCACTGCAGCCTTGACCTCCTGGGTTCAAGCGATCTTCCTGTTCAGTCTCCCAAATAGCTGGGACTAGCATGCCACTATGCCTGGCTAATTTTTAAAATTTTTTTATAGAGATGGAGGCTTGCTATGTTGCCCAGGCTGCTCTCAAACTCCTGGCCTCAAGTTATCCTCCTGCTTCCTCCTCCCAAAGTGCTGAGATTACAGGCATGAGCCACAGTGCCAGGGCCTTTTGACAGCATTAGCAAGCATGGTTTTATATCTAGGGGACCTTTAGAGAGATTAAACCATATAAGCACATTATTAAATTGAGGTCAGACATTAAAATCTCTTAATTTGTTTATCCTTTTCAGTATTGCATTTAGTTTTATAAATAAGGAAATAAAGGCCTCAGAAAAATTATATCATGTTGTCTGTGGTCTCAGCTAGGAGTGGAAGAGATAGCATTTTATGTTCTATCTGAATAATATCAGGGCCTATGCTCTTAAGTCACACAGTTGGCTGTGTCAGCTAATTCATTGTCACACGTTTATTACTGATAATACAGTTTTGCACGAAAGTTTTGCTTTTCACATATTTTTCAACTGTCTTATATGTTTAGACTTATTCAAGAAATCAACATAAAGTCTTGTAGGATTTGTCATTCTCCAAAGGGGTGAAAGTTATGTGGAAAATGTGTAAACCATTTTCAATATGTTCAAGAAAGAGTTATCTGTTCTTTCTTCCCCCTTTCTCATTTTCCCTTTTTCTTTGAAGGTCTTTATTTTTGTCCAAATGGAGATAAATTCTCTAGCACAGACTACCAGGGGAGAGGACTTTGACCTCTTGAGAACACTCAGAAATCTTTAAAGTGACTGTCTCGTCAGGAAAAGAGTCATGAAAGAATCATCAGTGACCCCCTGTGAGGACGTTAGTGATGGCCCCATCAGAGTCCCCAGCAAATACAGGTGACATGGGGGCCGCTGGGCACTGCCTCATTAGCAGATGTGATTTACGGCTTCACATCTCTGGGCAAGAGATGGAGTGGAAGGAAAACACCGCGGCAGGGATTTCCACGGGATGTGCAAATTAAGGGTTTCCAAAGGCATCATTTATTTTCTCTGATATGTTTAGACTTCTGTCTTTCAGGATAGATTCAAAGATAAACATGTATAAGCCTGCTGTGATATCATAGATTTGAAAACAGGAGAGAGAAAAAGGCCGAGTGGACGCACTGAATGTTTAAAAAGACTTCTTGGGTTTATTTTTCTAACTGTAAGAGTGATTTATATTTTTTGTAAAAAATTAGAAAATACAGACAAACAAGAAGAAAGAAAATGGCATTCACAATCCCCCCAACTAGGGATTAGCACTGTTGACAATTGGTTGTGAAGTCTTGATCTCCTTCTGTGAAAACACTTTTCATTGGACGAAGGGTTACACCTTTTACAATATGCAAAGTTAAAGGTTATACACAGTTTCTATGTCAAATTTGTTTTTTAAAAGCATAATGGTGTTCTGTTATATGAAAACACAGCAATTAATTTATTCCTAATTGATGGATAGTCAGGTTAACAATGTTTTTTACATGAATAGTTGCAAAGACACTTGATGATGTCCATAAAACAATAATGGATTCAAGGATAAGCAACATAGAAACTTGCAAAAGGGCTTGTAGCCTTAGACTCAGAAAGTAAGATGAATTGGCTTAGAGTCAGAGAGAGATGACTAGTAGCTTAGTCCCTGCTGGGACAAACATATTCTCCTCTGTTTAGTAAGCATAGTATGGATTCCAAGCCCCAGTTTGGGGTTTGTTAGCCTCACTAAGAAAGGGGAGCAGTTTAGAGGTTATTTTGTGAAAGTATGTATATGTATACATGTATATATATACTGTCCAACATTTTAACACACTGGCAGTGTATCATTCCCAACGTCAGGTCAGTCTTCCAGCCTATCCTAAGCTTATCACTCACTTAGCCTGCATTAAAAAACCTGGTGGACATCTGTCTTAACTTTAGACTACTTAATGTAGAAAAGAACTGGCTCTTCTGATTTGGTTCCTTCCCCAGCTTAGCTTTTTTACCTTAATGAGGCATGATGGATAATAGGAAATCAGAACGTTATGCATTTTGTGTGTGGTATCCTTCAGCCTGTGAACTACACACAGAATTATGTCAAAACAGAGTTCAGATGCAGTAATTAGAATTGTACCACCAATTGTGTTTTAGTTGGCCTCCATATTGGTAGGGATCCAATTGTACACTTGCACAAATAAAACTTTTCTTTAGTTTCATTCATGATGTGATTTCTCAGCATCATGAACGATTAGTTATAAGCCAGCTTCCTACTTTGACATCCTATTCCAGAGAGCATTATTAACTTGTCGAGGCTGTAAGTCTATCCTTGGGCTGTTTGATTGTGGCTTAGTATATATTTGCCCATTTGTTGATTGCATGCAATTAAGGTAGAATTCACTTTTAGATAGGTTTTTTTAAATTTAACTCTAACATGAATGCTATTGTTTGAATGATTACAGCAATTTTATTTGGTTCTAAATGGCTTCATTGTTATTTTATTAAGGATGAGAGCGCTCAGATGTAATAGTTCTTCAGCACCATCTTGGAAAAAAAATTTCTCAAAGCCCAAAGCTTAAACACTGTTTTTCCACCCACAGATCTTACCATAATTTCTCTAGAATAAAACTAGACTGATGCAGATTTTGTAGTATATTAAAAATAGCTCACGTGAATCATTGTAGAGGCCAGAATATGTAGAGACTTGAGTATTAATCTAAAGTAGGAAAAGGAAACCATTTCTAAATAATTATTTACAGCTTAGGAAAAAAAACAAGCTTTTTGAAATTAAAGCTAATTTTGATGATAGCACATTTAGAAATGGAGGGCAATTCTCATCTTAAATACCTATTGCAGCAAATAATTTATATGAATTACTCTATAAGATCAATTTCTAACTGTTAGGGATTTCTGACGTTTTGATTCCCCTCTAACTAAAAGTTATATATCATCACTATCTGGGTGTTACTATTTCAGGTGAGAAATTTTTTAAAAAGTAGCGTATCAACTTTGTTTCTTATGTCCTGGACTAATAAAACAATTTGGTGGGGAGCAATATAGTACATGTGATAAAAATGTGGACAAATATTTAGTATAAGATTGAAAATACAGGAAGCTCTTCTGCTTGTCAGCTATGAGCAACTGAGTGAATAGACGTGGATAACATGTTGAGAATACTTGCCAAGGGGCATTTAATAATGAGGATTGATCTATAATAATATGCTGTGTAATTGGGAACACATCTCTTTGGAGTTTTTTTGGCTTATAAAATTATTACCATATCATTTTGCTTATATAGTAGACCTACTTTTCCTAATGGTTCTGAAACCTGATTTACATGGCACAAGTTCCCCTCCACTGAGTACCTTCACACTAGTGTTTGTTTGCAGAAGCTCAGATGCAAACTGAACAGTGGGAGTAATGAAGCCCTTTCCTCTTTTGGCAGTAGTCTAAGAACTATGGTAATAGGGTCTGTGTGATCTCCCATCCATCCGCTCTGCAGCTTTCAACACATGGGGACCCTTGTGAGACACCAGAAGAGCTCACAGACACATGACTTTTCAAGACTTTTCCTGTGTTTCTTTTTTTCCTTTCCCCTTTTTCATGAATGATTACTTCATCAGTGCATGTCATTTTTGACAATACTGCTTGCCAAATGAAACAGGGTGATACGAGGTCACACTGTGGCCTAAAATTCTGAAGTAGAAGCTCATAATATTTGGCATCTTTCCTACTAGAAAAACAAACCAGAAAAGAAAATCAAGAACAGAGCTTAATTAAACATGTGGAATATGTCATGAATATTTATGTCCCCAAGTCTTGCCTTGTGATGGTATTTGTACTTAAAGTGCTTTTTCTCCTCTTTCCTGTGAAATAATTCAGAATGTGTTTCATTAATACAAGAATGTGTCATGTTAACTTTCATCAGGAAAAAATTTCACTTCTGACAACACTGACACCTTTCTGATTGAAAGTATGCAAAATAGCTCTTACGTTAATTGGTCCCAAAGAAAATTATGTTATCCATTTTCCTGTCTATACATCTGACACTTTCCCTCATCTGTCACCTCCTGAATTATCAATGCTTTCCCTTGCCTGATTTTGACAGCCAGTATTCTGCCTATGACTTTAAAAACCATAAAAAAAAAACTCCATCCTGGGAGCTTTACTGTCCTCCAGTTTGAATAGGAAGCCCCAAGATTACAGTCAGCAAGGTGTAGCCACATCTACTACTATGCCACATCTAGACTGCAGTTTCTCTATTTTAAGCCTCTCCCATTGTTTCTTACTCGTTGAACTTTAGAGAGGAAACAAATGACAAAGAGGAATGTTTATACTTTTTTAATATTTAGTCTTATTTAGGGTCACAAGTAAATTTTGTCAGCAGGAGCTAGGTCAGACTGACAGAGCTAACTAAAGTTGCCAAATTTTGGGAGCCTGTGCTTGGTTTGAGTTTTATGATTGGTGATGTCTGCGCCTTATGACCATTGTCATCTGCAGAGCTTTGCTGGGTCAGCAGAGTCTGAGAGGGTCTGTTGAATGATTTGGTTTCTGTTGTTTCTTGTTAACCAGTTAACTGAGCTCTGTGAGAGTCCCAGGGCTGAATTGTCGCCAGTGGTTTAGTTTCTGACAGGCCTGTAAGTGAGAGAGGCAGACAGACAGAGAGACAGACAGACACCCCCTCCCCAACCGTCCCATCAAATTCTTGACACCTGGGTCATCTGAGCAAAACAGAGCATGCATTTTTTTCTCTTACTAAGCAAGTATTCATAGTGGCGTCCTTTCACCACTTGGACACACCAATCATTAAAGACCAAAGTAAATACACCAAGTTGAAGATAATCCTTTCACAAATATACAAGTGCCAAGTTAAAACTGCCTGTCAATCATTTGTGCATTTTTCCTTACTCTTGTCTGTTTTAATGGATGGGTGTGGTATGAAGATATTAGAGCTTGAGAAATTAGGATTCCTGTGTTATCACAATTATTTTGCCTCTTTACAGATGATTGAACCTTAAGTTCTTAATTTCTCTATATAAAATCATGATGAATAGATACTGAGTTTTTTTTCTGAAACAGAATAACAATAGTAGGGAATATATGTTTCTATGTAGATACATGAACACATGACTATACATTTAAGCTCAATGTTTTCAAACGATGATGCTTCACATTGAGAAATGAATTTTGAATTATCAAATATGGGAACAAGTTTAACAATAATATAGAAGCAGATTAAGTCTTTTTTTAAGGGAAAAAAGTAAATGTTGAATGATATTAGTTTAATGACACTTAGATCTGAATTTATAATCCCGTGTACCTATAACTGTAGTATTAGCCTATGCCAATATAAACCTAGTTATAATACTTAAAAATAATGAATAATGAATGCAATTAAGGGCTGATACCAACATTTCTTGAAGTTTTGAAATAATTATAATTAGAGATGTTAAAGAAATAAAGTAGGATCTTTCTGTGGTCATATTTGTGTTTCCTTTATTTGAAATCTGCTGCCAAGAGTCTTCAGGATAACTCATCGCTGGGTGTCTTGCATTTCTACATTTCTACTTCAGAATGTCTCAAGCTCAAGATTTCTTTGGTTTAGTTTCACATGTGTTTAGATAATGTTGTGGAGAAGGAGGAGACTTTTATTTTTTTTAATTTTTAATTTTAAAGTATGGATACGTACTAATTGTACATATTTATGGGATAAATGTGATGTTTTGATACAGGCATACAATATGTAATGATCAGATCAGGGTAATTGGGGTGTTATCACCTCAAGCATTTATCTTTTCTTGAGTGTTAGGAACATTCCAACTCCGCTGTTTTAATTATTTTGAAATATACAATAAATTATTGTTAACTATAGGTGTCCTGTTGTGCTACTGAGCATCAGATCTTATTCCTTTTATCTTACTGTATGTTTGTACCCGTTAGCCAACCCCTCTGTATCTCCCATCCTCACCACTGTTCCCAGCCTCTGGTACCCAGCATTCTACTTAGGAGAGGACTTTTAGACATCTTATAGGTCTCCGTAAGATCTATTTTGTATTTGATCCTAATATTTTTTTGAAACAGGCTTTTATTAGTGTGGTTGAACAGGTAACCACACTGCTTGTCAGGCCAGCTCCCAGGACTGGCCAGGCTGTTCACTGTGACCCAACTTGAGGGAGTACCTACTGTTTAAGGTTGTTGGGTGAACACAAATGGCACAACCTTTGCCTGCCTAGAGGGCTCAATCTGGTGGGAAGGCCAGTCTGGTTATGACAAATGGTAACACAGTCACAGCATGAGGTGCTATGAAAGCTGAATCTTGGGAGATGACACAGCCTAGTAAACTCCAAGGGATGAGTGTGTGGTGGGAAATCCTAATGCCATCAAGAGGCTAGCACTCAAGCTATCGTGATGTCCAGACCCTCTGCAAACACTAACATCTACTACTCCTGAGAATCCTGAAAATGAAGAGGAAAGTTATTGCTCTTATTTTATAGGTTAGCGAACTGAGGCATAGACTAACAAAGATATATCCTGAGGTCCTCTAGGTATTTTTTTTGTTTTCTGAGTCAGAGTCTCACTCTGTCGCCCAGGCTGGAATGCTGTGGTGCGAACTCAGCTCACTGCAACCTCCGCCTCCCAGGTCAAGTAATTCTCCTGCCTCAGCCTCCGTAGTAGCTGGGATTACAGGGGGCGTGCCACCACACCCAGCTAATTTTTGTATTTTTAGTACAGACAGGGTTTCACTATGTTGACGAGGCTGGTCACGAACTCCTGACCTCAAGACACCAGCCCTCCTCGGCCTCCCAGAGTGCTGGGATTACAGGCGTGAGCTACCGCGCCTGGCCAGTCCTGTAGGTATTAATGAACAGTTTCAGGATTTGAACTCTGGAGTCCATGCTGAGAGACTATTCTAAAGATAATGGTATGGAATTAAAGTATTTTGAGCAGAGTAGCAGAGCTAGATCACAGGCTGGGCATGGTGACTCATTTCTGTAATCCCAGCATTTTGGGAGGCTGAGGCGAAAAGGTTGTGTGAGGCCAGGAATTCTAAACCAGCCTGGGCAACACAGTGAGACCACATCTCTATATTTAAAAAAAAAAAATTTTTTTTAAAGCAAACAGAGCCTTAGGAGAAGGCAACACTATGGAGGTCAAGTTAGAGTTCATATGCAAGGTAGAGGCCCGTGTAATACTTCAATTTAGCACATGTTAGACTTCCACTAGGGTCACAAGTCTCTGGCACATAGTAGGTGTTAGAAAGAAAAGTTGGACTGAATTTCCAGATTCTCTGGAATGGACTATGATCCAGATTTATAGTCATTTAAGAGTTAGAATCTGTAATTCTTAGTGACTGACTGAATGTACTTGGGGATGGTGAGATGGGGTAGAGATGAAGCACTGCTGTAAGAGAGCTCATGTCAGAGGGGGTCCTGGAGGAGGAGTTCATTTCCAGCATTGTGAGATGTTTAGAATTACCACCAGCTGCTGGGTGTTCACTTCTGGTGCAGGTAGGATTCTGCCAAGCCCATATTCTCCCAGTTACAGGCTATCAATCTATCTGAAGCTAGAAAAAAAATGCCTCCTTATTTATTTATTTTGTATCTAGCATTTACAGAATGCCCATTTCTGGTTAGTCACCATAGTGTACAGGGCTATAGGATGAAAAGGAGAGAGAAACCATGAGTCAAGGATACAGTCTCACTCCTGTATCAAGTTACTTTGCTTCAACCAGATGTATTTATTAGACTGCTCTTTGACTTTTGGCTTAATGGGTCAGGGGTGTCCACAGAGTTCCCCATTAGAAAGGAATTCTTCTACCTATCTCTCAGTCTGCACAGTACCATGAGGGTCTTCATCTTCCAGGTGTGGAGGTGGCTTATGTCAGTTAGTGCTGCTGCCCACTAGAAACCCTGGAGCCTGGAAGATGAGCCTTGTAGGAAATACCTCTTTCTAGGTGCACACTCAGGACTACGAGAAATGTTGAGGAAGGTGAAGGATTCTCCCATAACTCAGTCCTCCTGGGCAGGTGACTGGCGGGGCCAGACTTTGAGCATCCTTGCTGAATAATAAGCCTGTTTGGTATGAAATCCATGTGCTACTGATAGCAGGGTAATCCTGTGGATTTGCTGAAACCATAAGGGACTAGATGATACATAAAAAGGATATCAGTGATTCCACGAGTGTGTAACACGAGACAAAAGACATAATAAAAGCCAACCTAATACTAAGCTTAGATTTCCATACTGCTCAGGCTATGTATTAAAAATTCTTACTGTAGAATTTTTAGTCAACTGGAGTTTTCTAGTAAACTGAATTGGTGTATGTTAAAAGGGTCGGAAAGTCGGGTAGGGATGATGGGTGGGGAGAATTGCTTGAGTAAGAGATAGTAGCCTTAAGAATATTTCCTTGCAAAATATACCTGGGTATTCTTCATGTTTAAAACTATGTGATTCCAGCAAAGATAAGTTATTTCATTTGATAAAAGCAAAAGTAAGAATTATCCTCATGGAACTAAAACCCTGTTATATTTAGTTTACTATACCATGTCTTCCATTAAAACTATCCTGAGATTAACTTGATTTATCTTGTCTCAGTTTAAGTTTAGCAATTTAATCCCTAAAAATGTAGATAGTGCTCATTGTATAGAATTCTCCCCTTTCCCAAAATGATGTACGCTTCTCTTTTACTAAATTCTCAACTTTGTTAGCCCACTCCATATTTCAGTCTTGCTGTAAGTTTTAGAAAGCAGAAATCGCATCTTCTATTTCTAACTTGAAAGGCATTTTTTACAACTCTGTGTAACAAATGTCATCGTTCCCACTACGTCTGTTTTTTTCTGATAGGGCTAAGAGGCAAGTTTTATTGATTTAGAATTTTTCACCAGTTTATATGCATTATGCTCTTCAAACTTGCTTTTATGTGTGCATGAAAGGATATTGATTTAGAACAAATTTATATTAGCCCACTTTTCAAAACCCTGCAGCCAATCAGCATTATTTTTGGTGCTACAGCTTTCATGTAGACGTTCTGCAGGAAAAAACCAGAAAGCTCTCATTGCCTTGTACCGAGATTCTCAGTCAGGAGTCTAGAAAAGTCTTTCTTGAATCTAGTAGTTAGTGATTCATAAGTTTTTGTTGTTTATAACTTAGTACTTTTTTCTGAGGCGATTCTAGTCAATTCACAAGTCTCCTAAGGATTATTTCAAATGCAGGTCACTTCGTGTTCTTGAGATGACTTTGAAATCCATCTGTGTGTGTGCTGAATGAATATTGAGCATATGTGTCGCAAATATGTTTCCTGACAAACAACGTGCCATGTTCTGGGTCCTGGGGAGCTAGCAGCTCCCCAGGGTAGCTAGCAGCTACCGTGGTGGACAAGATCAGCACAGCCCAGCACAACCCCTGCCTCTGTGAGACTCAGGGCCTGGGAGAAGAGCTGGCCAGTAAAAATTACGTAGACTGTACAGTTATGAATTAGATGCTTGGTCTCTTGTATTTCAGCAATTAGATGCCTTTGATCTTAGGTACGTTGAATTCTTAAATTTATTAGCTTCTCTAATGCTGTAGGCTGATATAGATTTCTGTGGCTATCCTTAACTATCAGCTTTGATTAACCCAGAGTTTGGTGTTCAAAAAGAAGCTGTATCCCTCTGCTAAAAGAAAGAAAGGAAGGAAGGAAGGAAGGAAGGAGGGAGGGAAGGAAGAAAGGAAGAAAACCTTCTGGTGACCTCTCAGAATTAAATTTAAAAACCTAGTGGGATGCTGCTTCTCCCTTGCTTTCTGTGTCCCGGCCACATTGGACTCCTTTCTGTTCCTTTGGCTCTCAAAGCAGGCTTTGCCCCAGGACTATAACAGGATTTTGCCCCACTGACACATGGCAAACTCACCTGATTCAGGTCTTTGCTCAAATGTCACCCTCTCAGCTCAAGGCAGGGTACCTTGAGTACTCTGGCTCTGTTAGTGCCACTTTCCATAGCTTTATTTTGCTTGATAGCATTTACCACTACCTGACATACTATTATACTTTTGCCTAATTATTGATAATCTGTCTCCACCCAACAGAATGTTTGTTTCATTAGAGCAGAGATTGTGTCTCCTTAGCCTTCTCTTCCATCCTCAGCACTGGAAATGACACGAGACACGTAATGAACACTCAATAAATATTGGTGAATGAATGAATGATGTGATAGGCTAACCAAACCTTCACTTTCTTGGAGGCAGCCTACTCCCTTCTCATGACAGTTGCTGAAGTTATGCTGAGAACAGTGGTGATTGTAACTATGGAAAATGTTTAGGGTGTCAGGGTCAACTTTTTTCTCCTTTGGTTATTTGTCCAATGCAGGGCACCTGCTTAGCTACTTTTATCTCCATGTTCTTGGCTATCTACTTGTAGGAAATAGATACCCATGTAAGAGAATGCAAAAGTCTCTTGGAGGAACCAAGGAGCCTTATGTATCCAAGTTAGCATGTACTGAGTGCAGGGTGCTCTTAAGATCTCTGCTTGGACACTAGAAATAGAAAAAAATATGTATGAAGAAGTTTGGATAAATGCTTCATTTGAAAGTTATATACCTTAGTATTTGCTTTCCCATTCTCATGCCACTTATGAAGGGTGAAGTTGGCTTCATTGACAGCTAATACTGTTGAAGTCTATTGTAAAATCAGTTCATTAGGTTAGTGTCTATTGAGCAACTACTATGTGTATGTGTTGTGTTGGGAGTAGTGCAAGATGAGGCTGGAGGAGAAAACTGGGGCCGAATCACCCAGGTCTGCAAGTCTCATTGGAACTTGGACTTGCTCCTCAGTGCAATGTGAAACCTTTGAAAAATTTTAGCAAAGGAATGATGTGGTCAGATTTGTATTTTTAAAATAACAGCTTTATTGAAATATTAGCATACCATGTAATTCACACATTTGAAGTATACAATTCAATCAAATTAGTATACTCATACAGCAGTATAACTATCACTACTACATTCCATTTTAGAACATTTCATCATCCCCAAAAAGAAACCCTGTACCAATTAGTCATTCCCAATGTCTCTCCAGTTCCCCAGCCCAAGGCAACCACTTATTTACTTTCTGTCTCTATAGATTTACCTGTTCTGGACATTGCTTTGCAACTGGCTTTTCCCACTTACTGTAAAGTCTTCAAAGGGTCATTCATGTCGTAGCATTTCAATTCTTTTTATTGCCAAAAAATATTTCATTGTATAGATATATCACATGTAGTTTATTCATCACTTGGCGGATAGTTAGGTTGTTTTTACTTCTTGGCTACTATGAATTATACTTCTATAAACATTCATCTACAAATTTTTGTGTGGACATATGTTTTCATTTCTCTTGGGTATATACCTAGGAGTGGAATTGCTGGGGTATATGGTCACTCTATGGTTAACCTTCTAAAACAGAACTGCCAGACTGTTTTTCTAAGTGGCTACACCACTTTACATTTCATACATTACACCCCATACATTTCCACTAGCAATGTGTGAGGGTCCCAGTTCCACCACATCCTTGCCAAAACTTTCCTTTTTTAAGTCATAGCCATCCTAGTGGGTATAAAGTGGTATTTCACTGTGGTTTTGATTTGCATTTCCCTGATGATTAAAGATGTTGAACAACTTTTCATGTGTTTGTTAGCTACAAATAACCAGAATATCTTCCTTGGGAAATATCTGTTCAAATCCTTTGCCCGTTTTTAAATTGGGTTGCTTGTCTTTTATCACTGAGTTGTAGCAATTCTTTATATAGTCTTAATGTCAGTATCTTATCAGATACATGATTTGCAAAAAATTTTTTCTAATTCATTGGGCTGTCTTTTCACTTGATGGTATTGTTTGTAGCACAGAAATTTTAAATTTTGATGAAGCCCAGTTTATCTACTTTTTTTTGTTGTTGCTTATGGGGTCATATCTAAGAAGCCATTGTCTAATCTGAGATCATGAAGATTTACTCCTATGTTTTCCCTTACAAGTTTTATAGCTTGGCTCTTACCTGTAGTCTTTCATCTCCTTTTAGTTAGTTTTTGTATATGTTACAAGATAAAGGTCCAGTTTCATGCTTTTGCACATGGATATTCAGTTTTTCCAGCACCATTTGTTGAAGAGACAGTCTTTTCCTTTTTGAGTGGTCTTGGCCAGATGTATATTTTTAAAAGATCACTGTCAGCAGGGTGTGAAGGGTTTAAAGGAGTAGCGATGAGAATAGAAGTGGGGAGATCAATTTGAAAAATATTTATGTAGCTCTTATTACGTGTAAAACATTGTTCCAGGCACTGGAACTATGATCATAAACAAGTCAGACATAGCCCTGGCCTCATGGAGCTTACATTCTGGCACTGAGGATGAGGGATACAAACCTAACAGGAAAGAGGAAAAAGAAGCAAATGCAGTGATGACAAGTTGTGAGAGAAGAAACAGTGATGTGCAGTGTATAAGTTATAGGACTACTGAATATATAAAGCATGAATTGCTTATTTAGTTTTTTCCTTTAATTTCAAAGGGCCAAACATACCGACTCAGAGGCAGGTTGGCTAGAGTGGAGTTAGGAAAATACTCTTTCTGGAAAGAAAGGTGACTTTAATCATTGCTGCCTATACATGCCACTATCACCAGTGAGTCTTCACTTAATGTGCATATCCACCTGCTGGCAGCATTGCCAGAGTGACTGTCTGAAAGAATGGCCGCTTGTTCATTCGTTCATTCATTCATCAGATTATGGTAGCATGGATTACAGAGGTGAAGAGAAATGAAGAGATTTGAGGGTGGTCTAGATGTAAAATTGGGAGGATTTGTAGTCACATATGAAAGGTAATAGTAAGGAAGAAGGAGCTATTGAGAATGGGATCAGGGATTTGGGATTTTGGTAGTTATGATAGCCATTGAGTGCTGAGAATGGGTTAGGCTCTCTATTGAGCTCTGTCCAGGCATTATTCCATATGATCCTGAAAAAACTAAAAAAAAAAAAAAAAAACACCAAGGTAGGCACTACCACTACCAGCAGCAGCAGACAAAACCAAAGCTTAGGGGAGGTCAAGTCACTTACCCTAGATCACAAAACTATGAAACTGGGTAAGTGGTGGTGCCATGTGCTACTTTAATGTACTTCTTTTACTTTGTTGAGCTCTTCTTTTCAAAAAGCATCTAAAGATTGAATGAAGAAATATACAACAATTCTAACTAAATGTTTAATGAAGAAATTTTGAAGGGAAAAAATAGACCAAAACCACTTTCTTATAATCTCACCGACTGTGTATAATGAATGGCTGTCCTTTGGTGGATATGTTTCCTTTTCGAGAGATCAACCCTCATCTGAATGCCTCCCTCAGTATAGCTGCTGCTGGTCTTGTAGTATGTGCTTGGTTGTGCAGTTCCTGTGGTCTGGCATGTACCTAATGCACACAGATTGGATTGAAGATTGAAGTTAACCTCGCTTATCGATGGCATTTTAATTTCCTTCCTCTTACTACATTATGTGTTTTTTATGATAGTGCTTTAAAGTCCAGGCTTATAAGGAAAAGGAAACAATCTCCTATGCAAGTCCCCAGGGTTTCAGTGAAGCAGATGGCAGGAAGGGTCTGGGCATGGTGTGTGTTGCCTGTTTCAAAATTATGTCCCATGCACCCCAGCATTTATTCCCTTGATGTTGGCACTGGGCAGGTGATCAGATTTTAATTTGTGTGGCGTGGTGGCCTTTTAGAGTAGGATAATAACATTGGGAAAATTAGGTTAAGATCAATTTGTCATTTATTTTGTCGTAATAAAATAGAGTAAATCTTTCAAAACAGATTTACGTAAGTTCCTTGAATTGGAGGAAGCCTCAAATCTAAAACTTCATTAAGCAACATCTTAATATCACAGAGACTCGGGGTCAGAAAAAATTTAAATGACATATAAATTAGTAGAGTTTTTCGTTTGCTATTCATTTTTTTTCCCGTTTTATTGCCCTGGTATTCTGAGTCTCTTGGTTCATTCTTACGTGTGTATCATTTTGGTTTGGGTTATGAGTGCTCACTGGCATACTGGTATACAACACTGAGAGCCAGTAGGCTGTTATTTTGCTGCCATTCTATTGTGTCTAGAGAAGTATCCAGGGAGAGGGTTGTTTGTTTTTACTTGATGAGGTGCAGAAGTTGGGACTGTACTGAAAAACAGAATGCTAAAGAGCCAGCTCCAATCTAGGAAACATCCTCCAAGAGCACCCCCTGAGACAGAGTGTGAATCACAGAAAGGAAATTAGATTTTTTTAGCCCCAAATAAGAAAGATTAAAACACCAGTAAATTGTTTTACATTGATTTTACTAAGGTTAGTTAGAAGTAAAGGCTTACAAACACGTACTGTTTATTTAGTGATAGATGAAACTTAGAGGCGTTTCTTCTGTTGTAATTGGTTGGCTCTTTGCATTGATTAGAACTAGGTAGACAAGTTGGTACAAAAATGGCAGGAGTGGAAGGGAATGGGCCCCTGTTGATGTGTAAGAACATACGCGTGCATGTGGGGACACCAGTGGCATTTTCTGCATGTTTCGGGGTTTCAGAAGACTTGCCTTGTTCTGCACCTCTAAATTAGACCTACTGTGAAAAACTTACAGGTCAGTTTCTGGGAGTGCTTTTCTTCCTGGACTTTCCCAGGTGAGCACTTAGATCCTGTGAATCCATCTCCGTGTCGGAAACTTCCGTGATCCGGCTCTATGCTTTAATTTTGAATGTCTTGCTATTTCATTTCTTTGAAAATAAAGCAGTTCCACAACATTACAGCCCTGTGCTGTCTACTCATTCTCCTTTGGGGATTGCTTGTTTTAATTGATTGATTCACAGAGGAGAAAGAAAAACAATTTGTTGCTTTGGCAAGATTGGTTTTTCTAAGGATGCTACTGTCTTGCTGGGTCTATGTGGCAGTTAGTAAGAGAAGCTGGCTTAGCAGTTCTGAGGCTGACATGAACATTGCTTCTTAAATTGAAAGGTTGGGTGGGTGGATGGGTGGATGGGTGGATGGGTGGATGGGTGGATGGATGGATGGATGGATGGATGGATGATGGAGATAGATAAGATAGATAGATACTTGCAGCAAGCATTCCCAGAACATTTGTTACTCACCTCACTAAAATTAAGCTGTTGTTATTTTGAGATGAGATGGCAGATAAGGTAGATTCAATCATTTAACATCCATTCCAATCTCCCGTCTGTGTCTTTTCCTGTCCTGCTGATACTAGAAAGCTGAAAAATCATCCCCTGGCAGCAAGGGTTCTGAAAATGACTAGCCTGTCAGAATCACTTATGTAAGACTTGAACACAGAGCAGAATTAAGTGGGTAGAGGGATGGTGTGGTCCAGACATCAGCTTGCTGGCCTGACTGGCAGGCGAGCTGTGCCCAGAGCTGGCATCGCTGTGGGGCCCCCATGGTGGCCCCTGTAGCCCATGCTTGGAGGCAATGTAAGGATGGGGCTCTGGTGGGGCCTCTGGTGGCTCCTGTGTCCTGTGCTTGGAGACAGTGGTATGAGGACAGGTTTCCTCATGTAGCATCCCCTCTGTGCTGGTGTCTGGGTCTTGGGGGTCATCCTGGAGGCACAGCTCAGAGGCTATTCTTCAAGTCTCTCTCCTGATTTTATAAGCTCCGAATTCTTGTATAAAGTTACCTTCTAGTTAAAATACCCAGCATGATTTCTGTTATCTGCACATGACCTCCGATAAATGTATACTTTTTCTTTTTTTTTTTTTTTTTTGAGAAGGAATCTCACTCTGTCGCCCAGGCTGGACTGCAGTGGTGCAATCTCGGCTCACTGCAAGCTCCACCTCCCAGGTTCATGCCATTCTCCTGCCTCAGCCTGTAGCTGGGACTACAGGTGCCCACCACCATGCCAGGCTAATTTTTTATATTTTTAGTAGAGACGGGGTTTCACCGTGTTCACCAGGATGGTCTCAATCTCCTGACCTTGTGATCCGCCTGCCTCGGCCTCCCAAAGTGCTGGGATTACAGGCATGAGCCACTGCGCCTGGCCACATGACCTCTGATAAATGTATACTTCTATGGGACAAATTTTCAGAGTTGGCAAAGAAAATAGGTTCATCTTTATGGACCTTGGGATCTCCGTGTGAAACTCTCACCTTCCCTCAGGTCGTCCACTCATCTCACACGTGGCCTCTTCCCTTACACAGGAAGGCAACTCTGGGACGTTTGCTGATGATGGCTCATCGTGCCCACCCCTCAGGTGTGAAACCTCAGAACCATGTGCATTTCTCCTCATCCTCGTCCCCTTTAACCATTCTCCAGTTCTTACTTCCTGATGCTTGCTTCTTTTGAGTCTAACTTTTCATTCAGCCTTCAGCAATCCCTGTGCTACGACAGCCTCTGCTAAGAACTTCATGCAACTTGTCTTATTATAGCCTCATAAAAACCCTGTGGGAGGAAGGTTAGATGCCATGTCCCAAGGCTGAACGTAGTGCTGGACTGGGCAGAGAGGCCTCAGCTCTGACTGGTCTGAGCTGTGGGAGCTTTAGCTTTTTTTTTTTTTTTTTTTCCTGACACAGAGTCTTACTCTGTCATCCAGGCTGGAGTGCAGTGATGCAATCTGTACCTCGAACTCCTAGGCTCAAGTGATCCTCCCACCTCAGCCTCCCGAATAGCTGTGGCTACAGGCTCATGCCACCACAAATGGCTCATTATTATTATTATTATTATTTGGTAGGGATAAGGGTCTTGCTGTGTTTCTCAGGTTGGTCTCAAACTCCTGACTTCAAGTGAGCTTTTTTTTTTTTCAATAACAGTTTTGTTGAGTTACAGTCCATATACTAAATAACTCAGCCACTTAGATGTACAGTTCAGTGGTTTTTAATATAGTCACAGATATGAACAGCCATCATCACACTAAATTAAGGAACATTTTCATCACCTCTAGGAGAAAGCTTGTGTTTGTCTGTTTTTGCTTTGGTTGCCTGACTCTGAGGTCTTACTCAAAAATCTTTGCCCAGACCAGTGTCCTGAAGCATTTCCCCAATGTTTTCTTCCAGCAGTTTCACAGTTTCAGGTTTAACATTTACATCTTTAATCCATTTTGACTTGAATGCTGAGAGATAGGCCCGAGTATGTACAGCTGTTATGTATCAGGTTTTTAAAACAGGTAACCTGGTACACTTGAACAGCCCTAGCCCCCTGCCCTAAGCAGCCACTTACCTACTTCCCATTTCTATAGATTTGCTTGTCCTTCCCATTTCTTGTAAATGGAATCATACATCATGCAGTCTTGCATGTGTCTGTCTTCTTCCACTTACGACAGTGTTTTCAAGGTTCATCCACATCCATGTATGTGTGCTTCATTCTGTTGTATGATTGAATAATATTCCATTGTATGGATATACCACATTTTGTTTATCCATTCATCAGTTGATGGACATTTAGGCTATTTCCACCTTTTATTGTCTATGATAAATAATGCTGCTATGAACACGCATGTACAAGTTTTTGCAAGGATATGTGTTTTCATTTTTTCCTGGGTATATGCCCAGGAGTGAAATCACTGGCTGAATGGTAACTGTATGTTTAACCTCTTGAGGAACCATGAAACTGTTTTCCCCAGTGGCTGCCTTATTTTACACTCTCACCAGCAGTGTGGAAAGGTTCTAATTCCTCTACATCCTTGCCAATGCTGGTATGTGACTTTTTGATATTATGTGATGTCATGTGACTTCTCGCTTATAGCCATCCTAGTGGGTATGCAGTGGTATCTCAGTGTGGGAGCCGTGGCTCTGAACCCCATTGCAGTAATACCCTCTGCTCCTTAGTAGCCTCCTCAGTTCAATTTCCCCTTCTTCCTTGATGGCAGTAGCTGATCCCTTTTGTTTCCAGGGCCTTCATCAATAGATTGCTACCTAAGAGGGTTACTAAAGTACTGTTTGGTCCCAAGACTTCCTTGAACAAGGCCATCAGGAAGTTCCCCATTCCCTATAGGGTGCTGCCTGCATTTTGCTGGGGTTACAGGTACCCCATTATTGGCCTCAGCCTTGCATTCTGCTTTTCTCTCAGGCAGACTTTCTGACCAATGAGACTGGTATATGTTTTGCATCCTGTACATGCTATGTATTTTGACACTTCTCTTTCTTGATCCCCTTTCTACCCATATCATCCAGAAGGGACTTTGGTGCTGCTACAGAATTTATTATTAGTAACACACACTTGGCACTAATTCATTGCTGTATGTTAGTTGTCTATTTTGACTTTTGTCTGTGTGTACCAAAAATGCATATAACTTATAAAAGCCACAATAAAATAAGTATTTTTTTCTAATTCCCTGGCTAAGACACTCAGTCTTTTCAAGATCCCTGTGTACCTAAGATCATATCCTCCTTTCTATCCCACAAAGGTAACTAATTTTATTAATTTTATCATTCACTTGTGTTTCTTCATAGTTTCTATAATGAATCAAATTGCTTATTTGCTCCATAATCAAGTACATGAAATTTGAATGGAATTGTAGTCTATTATTTTCTGCATTATGAGTTATTTTGTTCAAGGTTACTTGAGTTTACTCCGTGTTAATTCCTGTAGGTGGAGTGTATTCATTCTCACTGCTACATAAAGTTCCATTGTATGAATTTTACCTCAACTTACTTTATTATTCTCCTGGTGATAGACATTTGGCTTCTTGCCAGATTTCAAGTGTTACATATGATGTGGCTACAAAAATAGTAAATGTCTTGGGCAAATTTGTTTTTGGACATAATACTTGGGAGTAGAATTGCTTAGTAGTGGGGAGTGGGCATTTTTAACTTCACTAAATAATGCAAACTTATATTCTTAAGTGAATTACCAGGAGTTTATAAAAATTTCCTTAGATCTACATTCTTGCCAAGACTTGTATTTTCAATTTATTTTAATCTTTACCAGCCTCGTGAATATTAAATGCTATCTCCTTTCTCTAACTTTATACTTTTCTTCTTGTTAAGGAGATGACATTCCTTATCTTTAGCAATGTGTTTTTGCCTTAGAGGCTCTTATTTGATATTCAGTTGGCTACAGTGAGTTTCTTGTAGTTAGAATTTGCCTGGCAGATCTTTTACCTCCTTTTACTTTTGGCTTTTCTGTATTGATTTTAAACATCATCTAGCCAGATTTTGTTTGTTTTCTGTTTTTAACTGCATTGAAGCTGGATAATTCAGTTCATTTGCACAGAGGCTGTAGCGATTGTTAGCTGTTGTTTGGGGTAGGTGAAAAATGGGAGAGAGGAGTTTGCTTGCAGCCATTGTTCTGGGCAGCATTCCAGTCCAAGATGGCGCCAGGATTTCTCACCCTCTGGGGCACTCCCTCCACGTAACCCCCGAGACTGCAGCTGGAATGAGTTTTACTTCCATGACGAGCTGACTTTAGGAAAGGGAGATTATCTGAGCAGGCCTGACCTATCACATGAGCCGTTTAAATCTGGGTGGAGAGAACAGAGATAGGGGAAGCCAGGGAGATTTCAAATAGGAGTAGGATTTGATGGACCGTGGCTGGTTTGAAGATGGAGGAGAATGCGTGGCCAGGAAGTAGGTAACCTCTAGGTGCTGGGAGTGGCCCCCAAATGGCATCCAGCATGAAAATGGGGCCCTCAGTCCTACAGCTCTAAGGAACTGAATTCTGTCACAGCCATGTGAGTTTGGAAGAGGATCTTGAGCTCCAGATGAGAACACAGCCTGGCTGATACCTTGATTTTACACTTGGGAGACCCTGAGAAGAAAACCAGTTATAATTTGTCATGCAGCAATAGAAAACTAATGCATTCATGTGGCATCTGGGAGGGCTCTGTGCCCATGATCAGGAACTTCCAGAAGGTAATTGGGCATAAATACCCAGCACTCCAGAGAAAGATTCAGCCTGGGGATGGATTCACCATCACTGTCACTAACAAGCGGTAGAAATGGGATGTGTGGGTGAGGTCAGTCAGAGAGAGTGAACAGGCAGGGAGAGGCTGAACAGGGAAGCCTGGACAACATTTCCCAATGTTGAATTGTGAATGATGGCCTGAGGGCCTGAAAATTGATAGCTCAAGGCACTGTGAGTTATAAAAACTGTAAGTTTTATCTCCTTGATGAGTTATAACTCCCTTATGAGCTGAGAGCCCATTATATACTGACTGTTTTCAAAAATACCCAGTGGCCTCATCTCATATTATTTCTCCATTTTAAAAATTCACATTGACTTCTTTGGGCTCCACAGCACATGCAGGCTGCTGTCTAGTCCTTGGGTCATTTCCTGGGAGTAAGGAAGAGAAATAAATCCCTTCCAGTAGGAATATCTTATGGTAGGCATGGAAAAGTAGAAGAAAATGAGGTATCTGTTTTTATGATGTCCTAGGCCCATTGACCACATCTTGGGCCCACAAAGGGTGTAGACAATTGAGTGAGAACAATCAGTATAAAGTCTAGATTAATTTTATCCTATACCAGTTCAGGAAACCATTGCCTCTTCCGGTTCCTAGGTGTCTTCAATAAAAAAGAGTTATCAGAGTAAACAAGTGATTGAAATACTATGTGTCAGACCTTCTGCTAGGACCTGTAGAGTAAATGTCACCCTAGATAGGCAGATTTCCTGTCCTCCCAGAGTCTGTCATCTATCAGGAAGTGTAGCCTTTAAACAAGCGCTCTGAAGAAGCTGTGATAAATGCTGGGTTCTCCATTATTGTCATCTCTGAAGGCCATTGGTAACCTGGAGGAATATTCTCCCACTAACAGGAGAAAGCACAGGATCAAAAAGAAAAACTTCCCTTCATTCTTCCAGTTTCTCTTAATCATTTTGCCTTTTACTTCCTGTCCTCTGTGAGCACGTGTCTGTACTGTTAAGTACAAATGGACCCAGAGGTTTCAGGCAAAGCCTGAGTGAGGCGCTGCATGCCTGTCTTGCAGGTCAGGGCTAGGAATGGTGACAGGGCTAGGAATTGACCATTGCTCCATTAAAGTGGACCAAAGTGGAATCTGAGTCCTTTTCAGGCCCTAGGTTCAGTCTGTGCTGACTCTGAACCTCTGAGATGACTATTCCCAAACCTGAGGGACCGAAGATCAGCATCAAGGACAACAGACAGGGGTGCTGGGGTGCAGATGTAAGTGAGCTGGGTCTTCTGGAGCGCTGGTCACTGCATGCTGTGGGTATAAAATGGCTGTCTAGTGGAGGCAGCCAGGCTGCTGGGAATGACTCCAGGTAGACCAGACACATGATTCTTCTGTGCCTTCAACCCGATGCTTTCAAGTGGCGTGCCTTAGCTGTGGACATTCTGACCCTGCCTTGTTGAATGCTTTTTGTATTTTTGCTCAGAGAGAGAAATCAGAGTGATTTCTTTTTTGTCTTATAGATCAATCTTGTAGCTTTTAAGGCAGCTCTCCATAAGGACCACAAAAGATCAGTCTGATAGCTAGATGTCACATGCTGTGGCAGAAACACTCCTACCAGCATACACTCATTCTGTACTAGGAACTATAGTAGGAGTTTTATTTGTGTTATTTATTTCATTCACATGGCAACACCATTTTCCTGGTAAGATGACTGAAGCTCAGAAAGGATAGGTAACTCAAATACCATTGCTAAATATGTTTACCTTTAGTATGTAGATAGACACGCATTCAGAAGAAAACGAAGGTGAAATATTTTGGACCCGTTTGTTTCGAATGCATCAGTGGTGTTTATTATTTAAAGAAATTCTTTAAAGAGAATGATTTTGTAAAGAGGATAATTTTCTAATTTGTGTCAAGCAGGTTGTAATGTTTTGTACAAGTACCTGAACTAGGGTACCCTTGCTGAGAAGGTAGTAAAGTGTGGCTATAGCTACATGTAAATGTAACTCAATGTGTCAGGTGTCCCTGTAACTAAAGGCGCAAAAGTGTGAAAAGAATGGCAAGTGAAGGGCACCTGGACGGTGGGCATGTTCGTTTCCTGTTGCCACTGCAACAGATTACCACAAAGGTAGTGGCTTAAAACAACAGTAAGTTATTCTCTTAGGTTCTGTGGGCTCTGGGGAGAATGTGTCCTTGCCTTTTCAGCTCCTAGTAGATGCTGGATTCTGATGGCTTTTTAAAAATGATAAATTCCTCGGCTTGTGGCCCCTTCTCTCATTTTCAAAATGTATCCCTTCATTCTCTGCTTCTGTTGTCACATTGCTTTCTCCAATCCTGCAGTGAAATCTCTCTCTCTCTGTGGACACTTGGAATTCCATTTAGCGCCCACCCAATCTCAGATCATCTCCCCACTTCAAGATCCTTTACTATACCTGCACATTTCCTTTTTGCCACCTAAAGTAACATTTATAGGTTTCAGGGATTAGGGTGTGGACATCTTTGGGGGCTGTTATTCAGCCTACTACAGTTGCCTTGAAAGGATATAGGAATTATCAATTCCAGGGAGTCCTTTTCATAGCAAGAGTGCTAGATTTTTGAGGGTCTGGAGGTAAAAGACCCTGCAATAGGGCAGGAATGCTGGGAGGAAGGCTCCATGGGGAAAAGAGAACCACCCCAAGGAGAAGGAGGTGCAGTGGACAGATACATACATGTGTACATTTCAGCCTCATTTTTCGTTGTCTTGATTTTCCGTGTAGTACCTGGTGTCTTTAATATCATATCCCCGTCCTTCTCCATCAGGGGTACATGCATGCACGTGATGTAGAGCTGGGGTAAGCAAGCCGCAGAGCAAACCTGGCACATCTCAGGGTGTGTTTTTTCTCAGATCTCAGAAAATAGCATTTATATGTAAATTAACCTAACTATGGTGTGATGGAGAAACCATGAAATGATAAATAATCAAGCTTAACCTTTATGTGACAAACTTTGGTAGTCTTGGAAATATTTTTGAATATATTGGAACATTACAGAAAGAAGTTTAGAGAGTTTTTTGGGGTTGTTTGGTTTCACAAAACATTAGGTACCACAAAATGCTGTGGCCAACCAGGAAAGTGATTTTGGCAACGTTACTATTTGTGTTCTCTTTTGTCAACGCCAAGGGAGCCGCCCCATGCCAGAGCTGTATTTGCATTACTGAAAAGCAAATATCTCAGGCCTTTGGACAACACGATACACTCTCACATGCCCTGGAGAC
This sequence comes from Homo sapiens, assembly GCF_000001405.40. NCBI lineage: Eukaryota > Metazoa > Chordata > Mammalia > Primates > Hominidae > Homo > Homo sapiens. The sequence continues at coordinate 105,154 of NT_187593.1, read as the reverse complement.
TCTGCGTGTGAGATGATTGGAAATGCTCATGGCTAAAGTCAGCCATTATCCGGAATAAACTTTCCCAGAGGGAGTTTTTCAGAAACACACCAGGGACCAGTAATAAAACATAAACTATAAAATGTCCTCTAGCAACCAAAACACATGGGATGTTTTTCTATATAATATTTCACATTAAACGTAATTGTAGATTAACTTTTATAGAGAAAATATTTTTTCAAGCCAGATATGCTTAAATCCTTTCATTTCCTCAAGTATGACAAAGCACTGGGAATATACTCCCCTTTGTAATTTCCTACCGATTTGCCCTAGTTATGAATGGAACATTAACTCTGCGAAATCTACATATGGAAAACGACCCCAGATGAAAATCTTAAACTGGCCATATCCCTAACTCTGGAGTCCAAGCCCTGTGCTCTGGTCCTGGCACTGTGGCTCACCAGGTAGTCACGTGACCCTACTCACCTGTGCAAATGCCCCCACGCTTCTCAGATCCCAAGCTCAAGGGGGCGTTGAGGATCAGGTCACCCACAAGTTCCCTTCCTGCCCTCAGCTTGCACGTGGCTCATCTGTCAAGGAACCACATACTGTGTCAGATTTTGTTAAAGCAAAAACCGGTTTTTATAGTCTTTATAAAATGTAAAAACTTGGAATAAATGTAACAATATCTAAATTCCTGGTGTGAATGAACAGCAGCTGTAGTGACAAAGGGAACAGGTCTTGAAGTGAAACCTGCCTGGCTTGGAATTCTGCCTCTGCCACTTACCAGCTTTAGTCCTTGTTGAAGAAATTAGCTGGAATCAGGAGTTTTCTCATGGGTGAAGTGAGGATACCTCATGGAGAAGTCTATGCAAAAGTAAGGTTCTCAGCACAATACCCGGCTAATAATATTACCTGCTTAGAGAGTGGGGGTAACAGCAGGTGCAATGTCATGTCTGCTGTTTTAGCTACACCAAGCTCCATCCACATCTTGAGTTGATGCCGTGAATAAAGGTCATATTACTTTTCAGTATTACTGGGGATATTTGATCCATGTGATGGGCAGATAAAATGTCTCTGTCTTAGAGAAAAAATGGACTTTTTAGGTAGCCAGCATTGCAATGTACTATTGTTAGCAGACATTTGAGATGGCTTCTAAAAACCGTGCAAGTGAAACACCCCAGGTTTTGAGAAGGGGGGAGCACCGTGTCCCAGGTCACAGGGCTGTCTGTGAACAGAATTCACCTGTATCCCCTATCTCATTCTGTTTTACCCCTGCAGACTTTTGATTAGACATCTTCATTGCATCCTGAGTGACGGGAAAATTTGTAATTAGCAAATGCATCTGCATATAGAAGTGTGTGCCCGAAACTGCTGTGCTTTTAGTTCTCATATGCGTGCTCCTTGGAAAGTGACTGTTAGTAACATTAACTCTGAAAACCCTGTTTTTCAGATTGCAAACGTAACTTCTTTCCAGGTCCTATTAAATGGAGATTTTCCTCTTGCATTCTTAAAAACTCAGAGCTAACCTTGGAGTGGTGTCTCTTTCTCTCCACCTCTCTCTCCCTTTCTCCTTCTCTCCTTCCTCCTCCACTGTTTTTTTCCCACCCTCCCCCTCTCTCCTTTCTTGTGCAAGATTTCAGTCAGTTTACTGAATTGCCTTTACATGGCTATGACCTTGAATTGCTTCTGTTAGTTCCCCTGTGCTCTTCCACATTTTTTCATTTTAGGACTACAGGCTAAGCATACTTAGTTATTACCTTGTAATACACAATCAAGATAACCTGGCCTTGGTTTCTGTGACTGTATCTCAGCCTCCCTGTCCTCTGTCTCGCAGAGAACTAGGGAAGGATGGAAAGTGACTAAAGGTATGGAATGCCTGAGGCATGGCCAGGCCAGGTACTGTGGCACATATTTTCGTATGTTGTCTCATTTAACCCTGATTCATACCTTTTAGGACAGGTCATGATATTCCCATTTAACTGCGCTTTAAAGAAGTTGAATGTCCACTGGGTCACACTTGGAGGGTTTAAGATCTGGATTTGGGTCTGAGTCCAACCACGATGTCATTTATATGGACTGTGTCGCGACACGTGTGTCTTTTTCCTGGTTTGGTGTTGTTATTCCCCTGGCAAGGTGTGCATGAAGTCGGTCCTGCCCTACACCTGTTGGCTTGTTTTGTTTGACTTGTGTTTACACTCCTTTTTAAGATGACTTTGTTAAACTGAAAAAAAAAAGCTGAAATGTTGATCAGGTAGCAGATTTGCAGGAGACCTAGGTACTCATCACTCTAGCACTTCCTAAACTGTAGTTAAAGAAACATTGTTCGGGATGCTAAGTGTAACGTGGGGGAAAAAAATAGCTCTCTGTGCAAATAAATTTGTATAATTGTTAAATGTGATTGCTTTCCCTCTGAGTCTTTAATCTGATAATGTGCATTCTGCCAGAAGGGAATGTAGTATACTGCACCTCCCCAGCTTGTTTTTGTTCACATCTAACTTAATTTATTAGAAAGCAGCCTGGCGCAGTTGTGCATGCCTGTAATCCCAGGACTTTGGAGGCCGAGGTGGGCAGATTGCTTGAACCCAGGAGTTTGAGACCAGCGTGAACAATATGGTGTAACCCCATCTCTACAAAAAATACAAAAAATTAACCAGGCATGGTGCCGTGTGCCTGTGGTTCCAGCTACTCTGGAGGCTCAGTTGGGAGGATTGCCTGAACTCAGGTGGTTGAGGCTGCAAGTGAGCCGTGATCATGCCACTGCACTCCCGCCTGAGTGACAGAGTGAGACCCTGTCTCAACAACAACAACAACAAAATTATTAGAAAGCAAAAGTCTCTTTAAGACAGGTATGTCTTCAACTCTATCAAGTTGGCTTTTGTTTTGAAGAACAAAAGGGAATCATGGCTTGGCAGTTTCAGCTATGTGTGGGGACTACTTTCTATTACACTGGTCCTGCTTTTACCTCTGGTGTCTAAAATGTAATAAATATGTGAACTAGAGCTCATAGGGTAGCTTCAACTCTGCTTAGAGTTTATAGCTTCAAGTGGCATGATATCTGTCACACTCACAAGTAGTATCCATTGCTGATTTCTCTTTGTGGTTGAGCTTCTTTATTTTATTCTATATTCTTACTTTATAATTTTTCATGTATAATAGACCAAATGTGATTGCCATAAAGAAGGCCAAATGTAGAATCCATGCCCAGTTTGCTTATTCTGGAAAAGCTTACTATGTAAGCTGGGATTTGAGGAGTTCTTAGATTTTTATTATTGTTTGATTTTTTTTAAGGAAGGAATAGGCCAGGCATGAGTGGCTCACACCTGTAATCCTAGCACTTTGGGAGGCCAAGACAGGAGAATTACTTGAGACCAGGAGTTGGAGACCAGCCTGGGAAACAAAGTGAGACCTGTCTCTACAAAAACTCAAAAAATTAGCCAGGTTGGCGGCACATACCTGTGGTCCCAGCCGCACGAGAGACTGAGACAGGAGGATCACTTGAACCTGGGTTGTTGAAGCTGTAGTGAGCCATGTTCCTCCCACTACACTCCAGCCAGGTCGCAAAAAAGAAGGAGAGGGGAGGAAAAGAAAAGAAAGGAGAAAGAAAGAGAGAGAGAGGGAAAGGGAAAAGAAAAGAGAGAGAGAGAGAGAAATAAAAGAAAGAAAGAGAAAGAAGGAAGGAAAGAAAGAAAAGACCGGAAGGAGAGAGAAAGAGAGAAAGAGAAAGAAGAAAGAAGGAAAGAGAGAGAGAGGAAGGAAGGAAGGAAGGAAGCGGGAGGAAGAAAAAGAAAGAAAGAGAGAGAGAAAGAAAGAAAAGACCGGAAGGAGAGAGAAAGAGAGAAAGGGAAAGAAGAAAGAAGGAAAGAGAGAGAGGAAGGAAGGAAGAGGGAGGAAGAAAAAGGAAGAAAGAGAAAGAAAGAGAGAGGTGGGAATAAAGATAAGGATTAAAGCCATAACAATTAAAATATTGACCAATTGAACTCTCGTGCCTGCTATTTTTTCAATTCTCTTCCCAAACACTTTTGGCCAAAGAATGCTTTTTATTTGGGGTAAATGTTGTCCAGCCTTAAATTTTCATTTTTCTGGGTAAGGGTACTAAATCCTAGAGTGCTGATATACGATATTTAGGCCTCACCCCATTGGTAAGTGGAATGTGCCTGTTGATGTAATCAAATTCACAGAATGTGGAATATAACACCCTCTTGGTTAAAAAAATAAGCAGAGGGATTTCTGGCAGAATCCAACTAACACTCGCAGAAATGAAGCACATGAGGTGACGAATACAAATGGGTCACTTAGAACTAGGAAAATCCATTGTAACAGGGCACAGAACTTGTTCTTTTTAAGCAAGAGTCTTGCTAACATCCACATTTATTTCATTCATATTGAAGGTCTTCGAAAGCTTAAGCTCTGAAAATGGAAGTGGTTGATTTGAAGATGATAAATGGAAACTGGGAAATTAGACTGCTTCCATAGGTGGGCAGTGTGTCCTCTTTTTCAGGACTCCGGGGTCCCTGAATTGTGAGTTTTCCCTCACAGCCTCTCCACATTCTCTGTGCTGTTCACCTCCCACCCACTGCTCTGTCTTCCCTGTGTTAGTGAAAAATCAAGCTTTTCCCTCCCTAGCCCAGAGAGCTGAGCTTTTCCCTGCTTTACTACTGTGTTTAGGAAAAGGAGGCAGCTTTTTCCTAAAAAGCAGTGTTTGGAAGTTGGAGGCACGTATGATGCTTTCTGGGCTGTTATCTCCAATATCCTTGCTAGATGAGCAGCCTCGCATGTTGGGAAAGAATCTGTACCAGAATTCGGAATATGGGGCTTGTGGCCACGTAGCAATGAGGTCACTGACCAGCTACAATCCCTGGAGCAAACCATTCACACTGCAGTCCTCTGTTTCCTGCTGGTGATATTCGAGGTAGTGGCCATGTGAGCTCCAAGCTATGATTTGTTGTTGTTCTGAAATTCTATGTATTATTTAAATTATAATACCTCAGATAAATAAATGAAACATCTCCTGAATTTATTCTTAATATGTAATTCATGGCCAAGAATATTAACTGATGAAGTGAATCATTTAAAGAAGGACTTTGTAATTTTTCTGTGGGATTGTATTTCACCAGAAGTGCTTCAGTTCCGTTGAGTCCTGTGTGATGTACTTCAGCTTGTCTGTGAGCTGAGCTGGTCTAACACGCTAAGTGATAACAGAATGGATTCTGTGTTTTATGAGTCAGTCAGCCAGATCTCAAAGGGATAACAATTAGGAAAAATATATATAATTTATCCCAGTAAAAGAACTAGCCTATTGCTGAAAAAAAGTTGTACCCTGTATTATTGCTTTTTTTTTGTCCCACAGGTGTGAATAAACCTGGAAAGCATAAACATTTGGAAGTTATTGAAATTTATTGAAAATATAGTACAAAACTCCCACCCTTCCTTTGTTTCCACCCAAAATGTAGAATTATTATAGTTGGCTGCAGTTTTTCTTATATCTCAGTGGTGTAATTTTCCCACAAGTAAGAAAACTGAATGGGTAGTATCTAAGAATAAGAAGCTATTAAATAGCAATTTTACATGCCTTTATGATGAAATACTACAGAAGATGGGAACTGTGTGTCGTGAAGTCATGGAAGTCTTCAATGACTAATAAGGAAATAATCTGGCTGACAGCAGGTGTTCTGATTAACAGAGAAGTTATTTCATAGCATAATAAAGAATGGCATGAAGAATTATATTGTCAAAAAAACCTAGCCAGATTTTTTTGAGCAAAGAGGGGTATTTCCACCCCTGACTGCCCACTGTAAGAATAAGAGACGCTTATTGTAGGATTGGAAAACAGTGAAGGAAATAGAAACCGCTAATGGTATCACTCTCCTAAGGGGACTACTGTTATTTCCTCTTAGGCACTTTGTGTTCGCATATACATACACAGGCATGCCCATACCTGTGTGTGCATGCGTGCTTCATTTTTCATGGTGTGCTCTGTGTACATTTTTTGCAAGGTCCAATAGGCCATAAATGACAAAAAGATACTGGGAACCTCTGTCATTAGCACTCTAAAGTTGTATTCTTTCCACCAGGAACCTTTGCCTTTTAATTTTAGTCATTTATAATTTATTCTGCTCTTCATGCTTTGTCGGCCCTCTCACATACTGGATTTTAATAGTTTTTCCAAAGCAGGTGGTATACAGAAGTTGAAAACATTGTATCACTTAATCTATTTTATACATGGGCCCATATTAAAAAGCAAAAAAGTCATTCATGGTCTCAAGAAGTATCTTGAGAATTCATCAGTTCCATCTCCTTTCCTCAAATACAACTGCTCAGATCCTCTGAAACTAAGGACCTCCTGAACACAAAATTATAAACCACAAATAGGTTTAACACCCTTTGATGTCAGCACCTTTTTTCTTCTGCCTAACTTCAGTACCTTATGGCACAGCTTAACCCCATTTCCTTTTGATTTTTGTTCGTTGGCGATGAGGAACAGCTGGTTACCTCTTTTGTAAAAATGACCTTTTCCCAATATACAAACAAGATCAAATTACCCTTTAACTTTCTCTTCATGTTACATTTCTTCTTTTCATCCTTCTCTTTTACCATGAAAAGCTTGCTATGCACACCACATAGTGCCCAGCATATGGTCTGCATTCAATAAATGCCTATTCGACTGAATAAACTTCAGTATTCATTGTTAATTGCTGTGTAAATAAAGCATCACCCTCCTTCCTAATTACCTTCTCCCATTCCACCCACATTCCTGTACTGGTCAGTGCTACTGGGAAAGGCTCTGTGTCCAGCTGGGAGTAGGAGCTAGGCCATTGCTGAGACAGCACTTGCAAAGGCCATTTGCAAGGACTTGATCACATCCTTACTTTTCCCATCTTCAGTTTATGTCTGGAGGATAGGAAGTGAGTAGTGAACTGAACACAGAACAGTAGGTAACAGGTTTATCTCTTTTCAACTGATATAGTACTTTATAGTTTACAGTGCCTTTAGTGTCTTAGCAAGCATTTATTGAGTGCCTACTGTGTGCTACCCAGTGGGCAAGTGCTAGAGCTTCAAGGTTGCTTAAAGCAACCCTTGCCTTTAGGGAGCAACAGCCTAGTAGAGGGCCTGGAATGTGACAAAAAATCATGACACATTGTGATAAGGTTTCCTTTCTTTTTGAGATGGAGTTTCACTCTTGTTGCCTAGGCTGGAGTGCAGTGGTGCAATCTCAGCTCACTGCAACCCCCGGCCCCCAGATTCAAGCGATTCTCCTGCCTCAGCCTCCTAAGTAGCTGAGATTACAGGTGCACATCACCACACCTGGCTAATTTTTATATTTTTAGTAGAGACGGGGTTTCACCATATTGGTTAGGCTGGTCTTGAACTCCTGACCTCGAGTGATCCACCTGCCTCGGCCTCCCAAAGTGCTGGGATTACAGGCGTGAGCTACCATGCCTGGCCGTGATAAGGTGTCTAATAGAGGTGAGACCAAGGCACAATGGTGGCAGAAAGGAACAAGCGATAAGTTCTATCTGATGGTCAGGTGAAACTCCAGAAAAGGTGGTTGACTTGGTCTGTAGCACAGTACCTAAAATGTAATTTATTTAATATGGTTCCATTCCCCTGTCTTGAGGGTGGATACTGGTCTTCTGTTTTGGAAATCTTATTGCAGGTTGCTGGCTGGCTAAAGCATTGAATGGCAAGGAAGAAATGATTTTAGATGTAGCTGAAGAGTTAGAGGTCATATCTTCGAGGACACTGAAGGAGAAATAAGGGTTGGAAGTTTTTTGTTTTTGTTTTGAGACAGGGTCTTGCTTTGTTACCCAGGCTGGAGTGCAGTGGTATGATCATAGCTCACTGCAGCCTTGACCTCCTGGGCTTGTGCGATTGTTCCACTTCAGCCTCTCAATTAGCTGGGACCACAGGAGAGCACCACCACGCCTGGCTAATTTTTTAAACTTTTTGTAGAGACAAGGTCTCACCATGTTGCCCAGACTGGTCTCGAACTCATGGGCTCAAGTGATCTTCCTACCTCGGCCTCCCAAATTGCTGGGATTATAGGCGTGAACCTCCACACTGGCAAGGGTTGGAAGTTCTTATGTTAGAAAAAAAAACTGACAGCAGGAGGAGGATGAATGAGAGGAAGGTAAGTCAGGAGGATAAGGGAAACAGGAGGCTTTTTGTATAGTCGTGCACCATATGATGACATTTTGGTCAATAACAGAACATATCAACCATGGTGGTCCCATACGATTATAATGGAGCTAGAAAATTCCTTTCACTTGGTGACGTCGTAGCTGTTGTAATGTCATAGTGCAAATACTTTATTTTTCATAAATTTAGGGTAGCCTAAGTGTATAGTATTTATAAAGTCTACAGTAGGTACAGTAATATCCTAGGTCTTCAGATTCACTCACTACTCACTGACTCACCCAGAGCAACGTCTAGTCTTGCAAGCTCTGTTTATGGTAAGTGCTCTATACGCGACTACTATTTTTATCTTTTATATCATATTTTTACCATACGTTTTCTATGTTGAAATGTGTTTAGATACACAAATACTTATCATTGTGTTACAATTGCCTACCATATTCAGTACAGTAGCATGTTGTACACATTTGTAGCCTAGGAGCAATAGGCTGTACCATATAGCCTAGGTGTGTAGTAGGTTATACCATCTGGGTTTGTGTAAGTGCATTCTATGACGTTTGCACAATGACAGATTTCTCAGATTGCATCCCCTTCATTATGTGATGCGTGACTACATTCCAAGGGTGAAAAGATGGCCGCTCAAGAAAAGGCTGGAGAGGCAGTGGGTTAAGATAAGGAAAAATTTAGAAAGTAGGAGGAAGATTGAACTTACTTTGTCACAAATTTATGTGGTCACAGAAGGCACTACTGCAATGAACCCTGTGTTCCTGGGTAGGAATCATGTATTAACTGAACGCGACATGAGGTTGAAATGATTATTTGTAAACTGTTGACTGTCAGACGTTTCAGAGGGGCCTGTGAGGTATAGAGGTTGGCATGATTCGTTGGAGACATAAATACAAGTGTGACTTTGGACACAAGTCTGAATGAAGGGTCAGTGTAACTTTTCTGTAAAGGATCATTTCATAAATATTTTAGGCTTTGTGGTCTCTCTGCATCTGAATTCTGCTATTGCTGCACAGAAGTTCCCATGGACAGTACATGAATGAATGAATGTGGCTCTGTTCCAATAAAACTTTATTTAAAGAAATGGACGGTGGGCTGGATTTGACCCGGGGCAATAGTTTTTTGATCCCTGGTCTAGATGATTATCAACAGGCAGGCTCTAGTTGATCATGGGAGTGTGTGAGGGGGTGTCCTGTGTGAATATGTCCAGACAGGCACCCCAGGGAATATAACCAGCGATTGTAGAGTACAACAAACCAGCAAAGAAAAATGAGATAACTATCGATTGGGGAAAGACTAAAGTGGGAGAGTTTTCAGTGTTAGGGAGGGTGCATGTGTTGAAGTCAACTGTCACAGACATAACCTGAGTGCAGAGATGATAACCCACAGTGCTTGTGGGATTTGTGTGTTAGGAGGGGAGTTTTAGTGGAGGGTGGGGCAGAAGGAATTTTAAGAGTGAACAAGAGGCAAGAAGTGAAGACAGGAGTTCTAGGCCGTGTTTCCTGTGTGTTGTCCCATTCAGAGATCATAACTCTGCAAGGGAAGAAGGCAGCTATATTTACTTCACTTTTAAATATGAGGAAACGGGTCCTCAGGAAGTTAAGTGAATAGCTCAAGCCTGTGCCAAAACTCACACTCAGGTGTTTGCACCTTATGTTTGTGTTATTTTATTTTATTTTTTACTTTAGCCACCTGGACCCCAGTTAATTCTCTTGGTGATTCTGTAAAATTTCAAGTTAAGCAAACCCTGTCTGGTTTGACCAAGAAGAGTCACCTGTTGGTTTACTGATCCCCAGTTGAGTTCACAGGTAAAAGCCACCCTTATAGAAGAATCCAAAACAGACTCTGTTTTTGCAAATTATCGCTTTCTTTTCTGTGTGTGTGAGACAGGGTCACACTCTATCACCCAGGCTGGAGTGCAGTGGCACGATCATGGCTCACTGGAGCCTTGACCTCCAGGCTCAAGCAGTCCTCCTACCTCAGCCTTCGGAGTAGCTGGGACCACAGGCAAATGCCACCACGCCTGGCTTTTTTATTTTTATTTTATTATTTTATTTTATGTTTTTGAGACGGAGTCTCACTCTGTCGCCCAGGCTGGAGTGCAGTAGCGCGATCTCAGTTCACTGCAAGCTCCACCTCCCAGGTTCATGCCATTCTTCTGCCTCAGCCTCCCGAGTAGCTGGGACTTCAGGCGCCTGGCCACCATGCCTGACTAATTTTTTTGTATTTTTAGCAGAGACGGGGTTTCACCGTGTTAGCCAGGATGGTCTCGATCTCCTGACCTCGTGATCCGCCCCTCTCGGCCTCCCAAAGTGCTGGGATTACAGGCGTGAGCCATCACACCCAGCCAAACTATCACTTTCAGTTACAGAGATCAGACAACATTTTGTGTAAATATGATGCCTCTTTCTGAGTCTGAAGACCACGTCGTACATTAGGCACACTGGCTTGGTTAATCTCTGCATCACTTCCTGGTTGCAGAAGTGCTATTTTCATCTTACCAGTGAGAAACTCCTTTTAGAGTGCAAGATGCTGTCCAGAGGAAGTAGGGGGCTGGGATTTAAACTCCAATGTCCCCGAGGCTTCTCACAGGTAGAGTAACTGTAACATAAACTGATGGCAAATTCTGGAACGCAGGTATGACACTCCCTCTTGTCTCTTGTTTTGATCACATTGTCTCTGCTTTTTTTCTTTTTGTGCCCCCCTCCCCCCCCCCCACACACACTTCTTCTGGTAGTTGCTGTAGTTTAATCTTTAAGAAGGTTGCAGGGGTTTGGAATTTGTTACATCCTGTCTTCTCATTCTGAGGTCTACCACCATGGCTGGGCATGTGAACCCAGCCAGTGGTAAATGATAAAAATATGCTGTGATTGGAAGGAGGTGGAGAGCGAGCAGGGAACACAGGAAGCAGAGAGGGATTTGTGGTGAAGGGTGGGAAGGGGCCTGGGCCTGGAGGGCCCCACCAATGTGTCTGTGTACCCTAAACACTTCTGTTTTCAGCTGGCTTGCTTCTGCTCACAGTTTCTCAATTTACATATGTAAGAACTGCAGGCAAAATGACTGGAATCAAGGGCACATGCCACTTGGATCCTTGCCAGCTTTTATTTCAGGCTGACAACTCTTTGGATGTAATACAAGATTTATAGTTGTTTGTTTCTTCTAATGAGGTGGCAAGGTAAATCTGCATCTGTTACAGCTGTTTGGCACAGGATATATTGATTTATTTTCTAAAAGAAACATGAAAACATAAAAATTTCAAGGTCTAAAAATAGTGTACATTATTGTGATGGTAACTGAACTTATCAGAAGTCAACTTATCCTTGTTGACTTATCCTTGTTACGTAAGTCCAACTTATCTTGTTGATGAGTGTGGGTGGGAGGCACGACTGAGAGATATATTGACAGTGAAGTTGAGTAAAAGCTCTTCCATTTCTCTTGAACTTCTGGAGCAGGAGAGTCACATCATGGGATTTGAGCAGGGGAAGAAAATCTTCTGGTGTTTCTCTCAGGTGTCTGCACAACCCGACCTCATCCAGAGCCTGAACTGGAGTGTCAGCCTTCCATGGCACATGCTAATGCAGGGCCCAGGGCACCTTGGCGATGCCTTTAGGGAGGTTCCAGGAGGAGCTGCTGTCTGCTCATCAGGGGCTTTGAGTGTATCTCACATATCATAAGTGGAGCTTGTTCACCTCATGCTCTTCTTTGAATGGGAAATTCTGTTCTCTATCATTAAACTATGCAGAATAGAAACAGTGTGGAGCAGAAAGGTTTAAAGAAGGAAACCTATGGATTTTTAACTTGCTTATGTATAACTAAGTCAACTGAGAGAAGAGAGCAGTCTTAATATAACGTAGAGGGAGGTTTTCTCTTTTTATTTTTTTAGCAGAAATTTTTTAGCCTGTTCTATTGCAAAATAAATTCAACTTGTCTTGGAGAAGAGCCACACAGATGGAAAATAGTGGAAAGACAGTTAAAAAAAAAAGCTTAACATAAATGGCAAGGTAACCACTTGTAGCTTTATGTTATGAGGATTGGTATGATGTATCCTATTTTATTTAAAGAGGAATAAACTTAAACTTCATGTTGATGAAGTTGGCAGATGATCCTGAATCAGGGGAGATATCAAAAATCTGGAAGGACAGAAATATTATAATCTCCTTCAGGAGATTAAAAGTATAGGCAGGAAATAACAAAATGAGATACAGCTTGGAAAGTGCACACTAATGCGGCTGGGAAAAAATAATGTAAAATGCAGAACCTAAGTGAACAGAAGAAATGTGCACCAAAATGCCAAAGGCAAGCAATATTTGGATGTATACATTGCACAACAGTCCACCACAGTGGGCTGACCATTAGGGGCCACCTACATTGCTCATCCTCAATAGAGAAAGAGGGCTGGGCGCAGTGGCTCACGCCTGTAATCCCAGCACTTTGGGAGGCCGAGACGGGCGGATCACAAGGTCAGGAGATCGAGACCATCCTGGCTAACACGGTGAAACCCCATCTCTATTCCAAATACAAAAAATTAGCTAGGCGTGGTGGTGGGCGCCTGTAGTCCCAGCTTCTCAGGAGGCTGAGGCAGGAGAATGGTGTGAACCTGGGAGGTGGAGCTTGCAGTGAGCTGAGATCGCGCCACTGCACTCCAGCCTGGGGGACAGAGCAAGGCTCTATCTCAAAAAAAAAAAAAAAAAAAAAGAGAAAGACATGATTATTTTTGCAGAAGGATGAACAGCAGTGTTTATTTTTCATTTCCAAAATTTCACCATTTAAGAGATAAGGAGATGGTAAGTCAGTCATTGGCAGAAAGCGACATAACAACAGGGAGTGTGGGACTCTATGACAATAGGAATGATGAATGTCTGAACTGAGACAATGTAGCAGGGTAAGTGGAAATAGTGGACTGAAATGAAATTTAGGAGGGAAAATCAACAGAGTGAAGATCCAACAAGGAGGAAGGAGAAGTTGAAGATGATTCTATGTAGCTTCATGGCTTTATGGAGTGCATGGCCATTGTCACTACCCACGAGAGGCATTATAGGTGGAAATGCAGATTTGGCATGAAAGATAATGAATTCCATATTGGTTGAGTTGCTTAAATTGGTTGGAGCTTAAAGGATGTTCAGCTGATAGGAGTTCCTAGCATGTAAATGAATATTAAGGTCTGACTGGGTTAGTGTGTCAGCTAATTTGAAGTGTTGATGAGTGATAGGAAATTTCACATAATTATGTTGTAGAGACCTTTAGCGTGTTATCTCAAAAGGCTGAAAAATGTGAGAACCTCAGACAACTTGGTGAGCCAATGGAAGCCAATCATTTAAACAGGCGTCTTTAGATAAGACTCTGCTTATTCAACTTTCTTAAATATGGCTACGGTATTATAGATAAAGCTATGTGAGTAACCAGACATTTAAAAACACATATTGTTTTTAAGAACTATATAAGAAAATAAGTATTTTTCAGAAAGTGTATGAGTTCTCAAATTTAGTTTTATCGGAAAAATCTTTGTTTGAGAAAATTAATTTAAAAATCATCACCAATTCTCAAAAATCATGGAAATTTTGATGAGCACTGGATATAAGTCCTGCATTCTAAGGAAGCTAAGTTGGAAGTCAGATTGTTGCCTCATTTCTTAAGACATCGGGACTGATGATCTCCCTGGATAGTAATTAGCTGTTAATGAGCACAGTACCCAGACTAGAAGTGTCCCTAAAATAGCTGAAACATACACTCGAGCAACATTTTAGTTGTTTGTTTGTTTGTGTTTAGACAGGGACTTGCTTCTGCTGCCCAGGCTGGAGTGCAATGGCATGATTATGGCTCACTGCAGCCGCAAGCTCCCTGGACTCAAGTAACCCTCCCACCTCAGCCTCCTGAATAGCTGGGTATATAGGTGCACACCACCACACCCAGCTAATTTTTAATTTTTTTTTTTTTGTAGAGGCAGGGTCTCACTGTGTTGTCCAGGCTGATCTGGACAAGCAATCCTCCCACCTCAGCCTCCCAAGGTGCTGAGATTACAGGCATGAGCCACCATATCTGGCCAACATTTTAGATCTTAATTGAAAACTTAGGAAAGTTGAATTATTGATCTTCAACTAAAATACAACCTTCATAAAATGAGGGCTCAACATCACAGAATTTGGGGGAAGGGTGCTGGACCCAGAAAATTGGGTTCTGGGGCAGTATCTGCCCCTTTTAGATGCATGAGCTTTACAAGGCTCTTGAGATACCTGAGCCTGAGTCTATAATGCCTGAGGGCAGGTGCCACTCCTCCCTTTGACATCTTCGTTGTAGAGTTTCAGGAGGTGCAAATGTTCATTGATGAAAATTCCAGCAACCTTCCTTACAGGTACAGTCATGCATTACTTAATGATGGGGATACATTCTGAGATATTCGTCATCAGGAAATTTTATCATTGTGTGAACATCATAGAGTATACACACACAAACCTAGATGAGATAGCCTACTACACACCTGGACTGTACGGAATAGCCTGTTGCTCCTAGGCTACAAACCTATACGACGTTACTGTTCTGAATACTGTAGGTGATTGCAACACAGTGGTAAGTATTTGTGTACTAAACACATCCTAAACATAGAAAAGGCACAGTAAAAATACAGCATTATAATCTTATAGGGCCACTGTCGTATATGCAAAAACATCGTTATGGGGCACATGACTGTAAAAGTCAAATGCTTTCATGTGCATATGAGGCATATGAGATAATATACATATATAAAGTAAATTCTTAATGTAGGCAAAGACCATGTGTCTCAGACAACAAATGAGGGGTACACATGTGTTTCATCATAAAGAAGTTTTACTACAAGTTAGGGGCTAACTAGAAACTGAGGCTGTGTGCTTCTCAAAATGTTTTCTACTTCCTCCCCCTCATTATTAAAGTGTCTCAGTTATTGTCATTGTTTATATTTAATTTTCAGAAGGGAGATAAATAGTATTCAGTCATTCCTAAACATATTTGACTTAATTAATCCCCCCCACACACCCCACTCCACTTTTCTCTCTCTCTCTCTCTCTCTCTGTCTTTTTTTTTTTTTTTTATGGTAAATCTTTTGGATCACTTGTTCTGAAGGATATGAGCTGGGAACTCATGACCAGAGATTCTAGAAAAGATGGAGGAGGCAGTGTTTTGGGAAATGACCTTTGGCAGTGTAAGAGAAGTTTGTCACCCCTTCGAGTCTGCAGCATATGGGATGTGGGAGGATGTATAGAACAGACAAGTTTGGTGGAGGTGCTCTTATAGCACAGCCCTTTCTGGGGGAGCCAGCTTCCAATTTGGAAGGGAGGGGATTTATTGAAGAGGTGAAAGGTATATGGGTGTTATAAGTTGTATTGTGTCCACCCAAAATTCTTATGTCAAAGTCCTAACCTGCTAGTACCTCAGCATGTGTGCTTGTTTAAAACTAGGGTCATTTCAGATGTATTGAGATGAGGTCATTAGGGTGGACCTCATCTTAATACACCTTTATAAGGACTGGTGTGTCCTTATAAAGAGGAGAAATTTGGACACAGGCACACAGGAAGAACGTCATGTGAAGATGAAGGCAGAGGTTGTGCGGTGCTTCTGCCAAGGAACGCCATGGAATGCTGAAGATGGCAGCAACCACCAGAGGCCGAAAGATGTCTGGAGCAGATTCTTTTTCTCAGACTTCGGAAGGAATCTACTCTGCCAACACCTTGATCTACACCTCCGGCTTTCAGAGCTGTGACAATAAATTTCTGGTGTGGAAGCCATCCAGTTTATGGTGCTTGGTTACAGAAGCCCCAGGAAACTAATACAAGGGGAGATGTTAGCATGGAGAATTCCAGCAGAATTCTATCAGAGTGGTGGATGGTCCAGTAAAGGGAAAGCGAGGAAATCGTGAGAATTGTTCCCTTTGTGGGTGGTCACTAAAGTATGGGAGCAGAGCTGCACTTCTGCATGTGGATTTGCCGGCCACATGTTTCATTTGTAATGGTAGATGTATCATCAGGTTCTGGCATGTGTGGGACAGGAAACGCCTGAAGGAATTTTAGACAAATGTGTCCTGAGATGTCCAGCAGCACCACTGAAAGAGTACCACAGTGATTTGTTCTAGAGCTTTCAACAAGTTGATCAGTTTCATCCACTTCACCTGTTGCTGGGTTTTTCTTAACCTTAGCAAGAACACTAATTAGTTATGAAAACCTATATTGATGAATGAGGTGAAGGCGGTGAGGAACATGCATACTCTCTGTTAGCCATTGATTCATTCATTAGTGGACTGCTCTGGGAAAGAGTATTTCAGATTATAAGAAAAGCTCCAAAATGTTGTAGGATGTCAGTTAATCCTATGACTACATCTACTACTTATGAAAGAAGTATGTACTGTCATTTGGAACAGTATAAATGTTTAAAGTCATTAACTATCTTATATTGTGGGTCTGGTTTAGTAATTTTTACAAACTAACATCTTCCAGTGTGTGCCTTGATCTTGTAGGAGGGAAGATATTGAAATTCAGCGTGAATTTTCTTTGGCAATTGCCCGATTCTTTTTCATTTTTCTGTTTATAAACCAATTTGAGTGCAGTGGATTTTACTTACTTAATCCTGAAACTGTATGCAGCATATCTTTTCTTCTTTGGCGGCTGCTTCACTGCTGTTGAAATCAGCTCTCATGCCTGCACATGGCATCTGGCTCACTCACCACCCCCCCGTGTGTATGTGCGCCCTTCTCTGTGAGCCGGTGGCTCAGCTGCCCACAAATGCAAGTCTGTGGGTCAGAGATGGTACTGAGAAGTGGAAAACTGTGCGTGTGTTTGCACATTTCATTTAGACTGTACTTCCCTTAGTCCTTTCAAAAGAACTAAAGCGGGGGGAGGGGAGAACTTAATTTTTATACAGATTGTTCTGTATTTTCACAATGAGATCATTTCAGTTACATCAGTGATAAAAATAATTAGGAAGTAATAGTGGGCTGATAATTAGATTGGGAGCAACAAGATGGTGTTATTGATCCTAGCCCAGCTGTGTCCTTATTATGAGATGTTGGTTAGAATTCTCAATAGCCACTGGGGTGATAGGAACCTGCCTCAGACAGTGTTTGTAATAAAAACTTGCTACAAGGCATGTTGTGAAATTAAAATGCATTCATCTAGAGAGAAATCCTGGAGTTTCTTATCGTTGCTAATTAGAAACAGGTTGTATTTTCAGAGGAAAGGACCTTAAATGTATTTTCCGAGAATGTTTTTACGGTTGCATGACATGACTTGGGGAGTACATAGGGGAGCACTAGAGCAGGGGCCCAGTTTTTCTTTTCTTTTCTTTTCTTTTCTTTTTTGAGATGGAGTCTCTTGCTCTGTCACCCAGGCTGGAGTGCAGTGGCACGATCTTGGCTCACTACAACCTCCGCCTCCCAGGTTCAAGCCGTTCTCCTGCCTCAGCCTCCCGAGTAGCTGGGACTACAGGCGCCTGCCACCACGCCCAGCTAATTTTTTTGTATTTTTAGTAGAGACGGGGTTTTGCCATGTTGGCCAGGCTAGTCTCAAACTCCTGACCTCAAGTGATCCACCCGCCTCGGCCTCCCAAAGTGCTGGGATTACAGGTGTGAGCCACTGCTTGGGGCCTGGCTTTTCTGACTCGGCTTAGGAATTTGGAGGATGTGGCTGGGATGCTCATGGCATAGAACTCAGCTTGCTCCTTGTTTTCCTGAAGCTGACATGACAAGCCCCATGCGTTATGCCGTGAGCGTTTGATGTCAATGGGAAGTGGCGTGCTCAGTGACAGGAGCCAGCCTAGACTGTAAAGTCAACTTACAATGAACTTATCTTTATTTATGTCCTGTTTTGGTTCCAACGACTGGACATGGACATTTGATTTGGCATCATTTTCAGTATTATCTCATGAGGACTCTTGGAATATTTCATTTGCTTGGTCTACATCTATCTAGGCTCTGGACTATGTATCCACTCTATGATCAAACTTGGAATTTTCCTGATGCCTGGGGATGGGCTGGAGTGTTTACAAGTGGAGTAAATATGAATTCAGCCAAGATATAATTGATACAAAGAGAGGGTAGTATTTAAGGATTGAGATGACACTTGTATGAATGAAATAAAGGCCAGGATTGGTTTCTAGTGCCAATAGAACTTTGATTGCTTATTCTTTAAGTAAGATTACTTTTAAGCAAGCAAACAAAAACCACCTGAGTTTTTTGAATCATCCTCTAGTTCAGTTTCTTAGGAATGCAGTGCCAAAAATGGTATTTTAGTAAAAGAGAAACTGTGTCAGGATACATCACTCTGAATGTGACAGCATGCTAGGCAGGAGGCTGACTACATCCTATCATGTTGATGGTTTATATTGTTTTCACCACACTCCAGATGCCTGGAGCTGTGGGCTGACTTCTCGTTGATCTGCAGTGAGCCTCTGTAAAAATGTTCTTTAATACCCAAGAGATACCCTGTTGCAAATAATACTTTTCAGAAAAGTCTTTAAAATTCAGGTAAAGGCAATTCATTCATATGAGTTGTTTCTCCAGCTGAAATTGGCATTCTCAATGATGTTCTCAATGAACTGATGATAAAGCCAACTCAAGACCTCCCACCCCCAAAAAACTCCCAAACGCCCAAAACTGTCGTGAAAAGAAGGAAGTCTTGTTCATGGCTCTCAGGATGTCTGTAGGAATTTGCACACTGACATGAACTTAAAGCAGGACAGATGGATGGCAAGGGCTGTGCATCTCATTGGATATTTAACTTGGGAAATGAGAACAGTGAGTCTAGCACGTAGGCAAATAAAGTTCTGCAGAATGAAGCTGATTAAAGAATTTGAATTTGAACCTGGAAGGACTTCTATGGTCCTTTCTATGTATGTAATGGTGTTTTTGTAGGTAAATATTTGAGGTTACTCTGTATAGTAGGTTCAAATGTTTGTGAAAGTGCCTTAGAGTTAGAAAACAATTAACCCAGGTTGAGTCTATTATGTTTCCTGCTCATTTGTGGGAAAGCTGGTGATCCCACACTGAAAGGAAACTGGACCAGCACCTTCTCTTCCCTGGACGGACGTTATTCATGCCCCAGCAGCAATAACAATGCCTCGTCTCAAGAGCTAAAAATCTGTTGATTCCAGCTGAAGTGTTTAGAGAAAAGTGCATTGAAGACTGAACCATATAAACAGGTCAGAGTGAAAGCCAATTTTTATAACCAGAGTCAAAATCAGTGTGGAATAATTCATAGGTCATTCTTAATTTTATGTTAAACATTGTGCTAGATTATCTCCATCTTTTTGGCCCGTGCTTTCAAAATATCCCCATGATCAAAGCTTCTTAGATAGGATATGTTTCCCTCCATTGTGGGGAAACACAGAGCCTATGGTCGTTCTGTCCTGCGAGCCTCTGCTTCCTCTGCAAAGTGAGAGCTCCTTTTCCTTGTGTTTCCTGACCTCATCCAAGGGTTTTTAAATTATTTTCTAAGGGAGGGTGTCACTGTCTTTGGAAAGATCTAAAATAGCAAATTTTTGTTTTCCTGTATACATATAAGAAAACTGGAAGGAGGGATCAGTAGAAACTTAGGTCTACCTTAGCTACAATTCATTTATTTATTCAGTAGCAATAATAGAGGATTCGTGCCTGTTAGAGCCATAGCGCTTGAGCAGGCAAACAGGCCTCATCTGCCGTGCTCCTTGGGCTCTCATCTTCATAAGGAGGACAGTATTGTGGGAAGGTTAGTAGCGAAGTCAGTTTTCAGTGTCGCATTTCCAAATTTTTGTGGTCTTTCCACATAAGAGTTTGAAAATATAAAGGGCTTCAATTCGAACTGTTTGGCAGATGTAGCAAAAGGTATCCTGTGGGTCCTTTTATTCATGTTTGTTTCATGTCTTCCACATACCTGATAACTCTTACAGAACAGTACGTGCTGGAGTGGAGGAGGTAAGCTCAGTCATGGAGGAGGGGTTAGACACGTGGAGGTGTGCTTAAGTAGACCAAAAGCTCTGCAAGGGGTTTAGCATCGCCTGGGGATACAATGCGTGGGGAGGGGTTTGTTTAGGGAAGAATTTCAGGATGTCAGGATGTGTGCTTTATAGATAACAATTTCATTTAACCTTTAAAATCCCCCGAAGTATGGATCAGCTCCATTTTACAGATTAGGACAGAGTTGCAGTGAGTAGCCCAAAGACATGCCAACACATTGACTAAAATAACATTGAATCACCAAGAAATGTTCTTCAGGGATGTAAAATGCACCAAGTTTGACTTTCCTAAGCTGACGTTTTTAGCTGGCTTTGTTCAGATATTTTTCTACAAGTATATAAGTTTTGTTTTATTACAAAGACATTTATTGGGTTTTAAAAATTCATTCAGCCAATCATTCAGAAAATCTATAAGGGTTAACTACTGACATTTGTAGTTCATTCTGATTTAGGAATCACCATATGGTTTAAATTCCAATTTGAGAAAAAAATTACTAAGTAGAGATATATTTGTATCATCATATTTGTTTAAGCTCTGGGTTTCCAAAACAGTGTATATAGATAGTATTGGACATTGTGAATGGGCTAGTTTAAATTAAGAACAATTTCACTCATAGCAGAAAAATTATTTTTCGATGAAAGGAGATGATAGGATTTTCCCCCCATGCTGTTTCATGTTGAAGATATTTCAGCAAATTGGTCAGAGTTCTGCCAAAGTATTTTGAATGTTCTTTAGAAGTGTTTGGAATGACCTGATTTTTCTCCTCAGGACACATCTGAATTTTCTTAGGCTTTTGGAACTCTTTTTTTGTTTTAAATGTTACATAAGCTCTTTGGTTCGAGCATTGAATGACATGTTATGACATTTAAGGGGAAAAAATTTTATAAGCATTAATCAATGTAAGATATTTGTTGCTTTTTCATTCGACCCCATCCAGCTTTCATCCTGATGCACACCATACTGGAGGCATGGCTGCTTGTTTAATTGTTTAGTGCAGAACGCGGTTTGATCTCTTTCTTGTGCTTTCAGTGCTGGTAAATTAATCAAAAGAAGTTACTGCTCTGCTGGGCATTAGCATGGGTTTAGATGTTTCTGCTTCAGGGCCTGTTCATCAACTAAAATGCTTTTAAGCCCCAAATGGAGAGTAAACAGCGTTGCTGCGGCCACTTTGAGGTGAGCCATTACTTGTGACCCGCTTACATTTGGGAAGGGGCCTGTTTGTATTAGCAGTTATTCTGGTTTGGGTTATAGCATTTTCAAAATGTTTTTTCTCCTTTTTATTTTAGTGTTTTTAGTATTTGTAAAGAGTGCCCCCCATCACCACCATGTATATACACATAGGCATTTCAATAACAGTATGTGGAGATTAAAATCAGTGGACATTTCTATGAAGTTTGAAAGGTGAAATGTGTATCTTCACCATGGCTTGTAGTGAGAGGACAGTGAAATTATAATGCCAATTGAGATAGCAGATAGCAGAATAGTTTTGACTAACATGAAATTGTGGATCCTTAGGTTGTTTTTCTGTCTTCCGTGAAATAAAAGTTGACACTTTCTAACTCTTGGCAGCAGGTGGGCCAGGCATTTGGGAGGCACTGCAGACGCTGAAGAGAACAGACCTTTGCCTTGCAGGAATCAGTCCTTCCAGGAAGACAGGCCTGGAAATGGTGATTTCTGGGCATGGGCTGAGTATTCTGATGGGAAGAGAGTGGAGGAGGGGGAAGTGAAGCTGGCAGAGGGGAAGGAGGGCCTGACGGAGATGGGAGAAGCATCAGAGGACCCCGCCAGGAAGGAGACGACACTGGAGGTGGTCTTCAGGATAGAGCTGAAGTTAGCCGAGGGGAGTCCAGATGCGAGGGAGTTTGCGGTGCAGGTTTTGTCTGGAGAAAAGCAGAGCAGTGGGAATGTGGGTGAGGAGGGGGTGTAGGCAGCAGGGAATCATGACGCAGGCATTGTCACATCGATGTCAGAGCAGGAGGCTGTGCTCGGTGGGGGCAGTCAGAAAGCCCCTTGAGTGAGCAGCTACAGAGCTTAGGCTGTTCCTGGGGCAAGGGAGATGGGAGGAATTTAAGAAAGAGTGGGACAGCTTTGCCTTAGGAGCAGACCAAGGCTGCGGTGTAGACAGGCAGCAGCCAACTCATGTTCCTTCCGATTTTCTTTAAAACTGGAAAGGAAGTTAAAATGGGACATTCTGGTCACTATAGAGTAGAATGAATGCCTGATGATAACTGTCACATTGTCTCTTTAGTTTCTAATTGTTGACATCTAAGTTTGTTTTTAAAATAATTATTTGGCCAGGCATGGTGGCACGTACCACTAGTCCTGGCTACTAAGGAGGCTGAGATGGGGGATTGCTTCAGCCCAGGAGTTTGAGTCCAGCCTGGGCAACATAGCAAGACCACATCTCTAAAAAATAAAACAAAACAAAACAAAAAAACGAAGAAGAAGAATTATTTGCATGTATGTGAGCTCCTGTTTGTATACGAAACAACCAAGTTCATCTTTAGAAATCATCTGATTGTCTCAATATTTATTTACTTATTTGTGTCCCTCTAAAGCCACAGTAAGGAGAACTTCGGTGAAGTCCTCCCTGAAGGGTCACTGGTCCAGTTCGTGTGGAAGACAGGCCGGTGTCCAGAAAGCAGCTCCTGACCCAGGCAGAGCAGGCTGCATTTCTCAGAGTAGTCGCTAGAGTTTTCAGGAGACCAAATAAAATAGTACACATCTGTGTGTAGTTACCAAAGCCAGGAACACGGGCCCTAACTGTGGGCAGTTTCCCTCTGCTAGTGCCCCCTCTTCCTTGGTTACTCTCATCTGTCTCTAGTTTTGGGCCATACACTGTGCCCACCCCCACACTGAAGCAGCCTCCCTCCCCACAGCTATCCCCCCGATTCTGACTCCCACCTGCTTCCATGTTGCTCTGCCCGGCTCCCATTCCGAAGGCCGGTGGTTTCAGCCCAGCTTTGGGAGCACCGTAGATACTTTCAGTTCAGCAGGGCCCTTCGCCCCACCACGTGATGGGATTCTAGAAATGAGTGTGTTCCAGTAATAGGGAGGAAGTGTGGGGAGCCTGGGGGCCCTGTCGGCAGGTACCTCATATGTGTAGTTTTGGCATCGAGTTTATACGAGCACATGGGCATCAAAAAGCTTGCGAAGAAAAGTCCTCTTCTGCTCGATGTATACAAAACTTCTGTTTTGAAAGAGTTGCTTGGGGAAAAAAAAAAGGAATCTTTTTGGAATTACACGTGTAGTTCACTAAAGTATTCCTAGTGACAACATAGCCATGTTTAAAGCCTGAGATTGTGTTGTTCTCTGTCCAGGGTCCAACAGGGAACTGAAATCTTGGAGGTTTTCAGCACCACAGTGTATCAGAGCACTCACAGAGAGCTTGGGAGTCTCAATGACAAAGGCGCCCGTGGGCTCACAGCTAGTACTGCGTCTTTGGTGGACAAAAGCTCCATTTTCCTGATAAAATTTAGCTTACTGTGCAAATGTGATTTATTTGGTGGGTTTCCTGATTCTCCTACAAGGAGATTCTCTGTGGTTATTTGAAAGTAACTAAGTCAACCTCCCATACCTTGGCTTACTTTGAATTCAACCTCGTCAACAGATGCCCTGAGGGCCCCAGACTGTAATAAGCAGCTCTGCTACAGTGCCTACCAGAAGGGTAAAGGCACAGTGCAAAGAAATGGCAACATCTTGTTTTCTAGGACTTCTTCAAATACCTTGTACTTGGAAAGTTATGATGGAAATATCCTGTAATGTAGCATCACTGAAATGGCTTCATTTTAGGCAAGGATTGTAAAGCTTTAAAATTGAGTGAAACCTTGAAGTGTTTTTATTATTTATTTATTTTATTTTATGATTTTTTTTTCTTTTAAGAGACAGGGTCTCACTCTATCACCCGAGCACAGTCATGGCTCACTACAGCCTCCAACTCCTGGATTCAAGCGATCTTCCTGCCTCAGCCTCCTGAGTAGCTGGGACTACAGGCGTGATTGCCATGACTGGCTAATTTTAAAATTTTCTGTAGAGACAAGGTCTCGCTATGTTGCCCAGGCTGGTCTTGAACTTTTGGGCTCAAGCAGTCCTCCCACCTAAGCCCAGGAGTTTGGCCTCCCAAAGTGCTGGGATTAAGCCTGGCCTGAATTGTATTTACACTGCTTTTAATAACTTATTTGCTTTTTCTTTACAAAAGTAATCTATGTTAATAATATAAGCAGAAATAATAAAATGAAGGAATAATACACCCAAATCAGAGATAACCACTTTCTAAATCATTTTCTCCTGAAGTTTTATCACTGCATGTATATGTATGTATACATCTAGTATGTGTCTAAAATTGGATGCTACTGTTACGTGTACTGTTGTAATTTGCTTTCTTCATTCAACAATAGGTAGTGAGGGCCAGGCACAGTGGCTCAGGCTCATGCCTATAATCCCAGCACTTTGGGGGGCCAAGGCAAGAGAGTACCAATGGGCATATATATTGGTGCAGTCCTACGTAAAGGCAATCTGAATACAAATTTTACATGTGCATAACTTCTGAATAGGCAGCTTGGCTATTTATCCTAAGAAATTTATCCTAAGAGGCCAGGCGCAGTGGCTCACGCCTGTAATCCCAACACTTCGGGAGGCTGAGGCAGGTGGATCACTTGGGGTCAGGAGTTCAAGACCAGCCTGGCCAATGTGGTGAAACCCCATCTCTACTACAAATACAAAAATTAGCCAGGAGTGGTGGCATACCCCTGTAGTCCTAGCTACTTGGGGGACTGAGGCAGGAGAATCGCTTGAACCCGGGAAAAGGTTGCAGTGAGCCGAGATCATACTCTTGCACTCCAGCCGGGGCGACAGAGTGAGACTCTGAAAAAAAAGAAAGAAATTTATCTTAAGAAAGTAAATGGATAAATAGACAAGGTCATAGGCACAGTCACTAGCTTATTGTTCATCAGCAGGTCCTTGAGAGTGCAGTAGATGTAAAATGTATTGTTCTGGAAGAATGGACATATGCTGACTGCATGGTTTTTTGTTTTGTTTTGTGTTTAGAGACAGGGTCTCACTATGTTGCCCAGGCTGGAGTGCAGTGGCAGTGCAAGCATAGCTCAATGCAGCCTCTAACTCCTGGCCAGTGCTTGTTTGCCCACACATAAGCATTATGTGATATTAGTCTACTTTGTTGTTGCCAAACTCTGTTCAAAGTGTTTCCTCTACCTCAGATTCTTTTTGGCTGGTTTTAGTTCAGCATCTCTATCCATGGTCTCAGAACTAGCTCAGGGCAAGGCTCCTCTGATTTTTCTTTCTAACTCTCCTCCTTCCCTTTCCTTGCCACCCTCTAGCGTGTCTTTGAGCTATGTGTGATAGCAGGTTTTACTGGGGTGATTTATAAATAGGTCATCTCTCCCCTCTTGCACTGTGGAGTACTGGGGGGCACCACCAGCGCTGGCTGCTGTGGGGTCTTTGTGCCCTCCCTCGGTCTCCTTCAGCAAGCTGGGCCCTTAAGCTCTTGTGCCAAGAGAAGGGACAGACAGGGCAGAGTGGAGGAGTGGGCATGGGGCGCTGCTGATCAGAGAAAGGGTAGCCTGGTGGCCAACAGCACGTCCAAGAACACTGTATGAGCAAAAGTGGCAGGGAAATCCGGGAAGTGGGAGCTCACAAACCAAGTGCTAACACTTACAGGGTGTGGTTCCACAGCTGCCCTTTGGCTCGACCCACAATCCTTTATACAGCCATTTCTAGCTTATTTCCAGCCCCCAGCTCAGTGCTGACTCATGTGAATGTTGGCCAGACGCTCTGGCTTGTGTGGTTATTGGCTTCCTCTCCCTTTGTTGCATACAGTCCTCTGTTTGCCTTTCTACAGAGTACAGCAATGCATAGCTGCAAATTTGAGAATCTCATTCTAGTGCGGTAGGTCAGTCCACAAATACTCTCTGAGTGCCAGCTCCATGCCAGCTATTGAGATGAACACCACCAGGACTATGCTGGGAAAACAGCAAACATGGTGCTGGTATTGCAGGGAGATCACAGAGGGAAAATTATCCTCAACCTGGAGGGATGGCTTCTTAGCTCAATGATGTCCTTTCCCAGCTTCTCTCTTGGAGATATTTTGTCTTTGGAACTGGCAGCCACATGACAGCCATGTGTTGCTCCCTGATTGTGGAAGGGTCTCAGTATCCTGAGTGCTTGGGGTGCACCCAAAAGACAAACACCACTTATGTCAAAACGCAGGCCCCAGAGTTAAGGAAAAGTCTGTTTCTATCACTAACATAGCATCTGGAAGAAATAGAAAATGGCTATTTCCTAATTACTGTTAAAGTGTATTAAGCCAACATCCATGTATGCTTTTCCTCTCCTTCATTCACTGAAGGACTTTCAAAGAAATTGCACCCCTTGCACTTAGCATGGTGTCTGTGTGACTTAGTCAATGAGCCGTTAGGCACTGCAGATACCGTTTGTTCAGTCAAGATGGATAGCCCTGCCTTATCACTGCGTAACGCCTTGGAGGCCATAGGCTATCTCTGCACATCTCCCTTAATTGCCTGGTGTATTTATGTGGGTTGACTAGTTTGTTGCCATCTGCATAGCTGGGTTGTTTAATATATTTTTCTTTGTTCTGCTAATGACCTGAGCTTCATTACATGCTGATAAAGAATCCTAAAATGTACATAGAAAACTGACGAAGAAGAACTGGCCCTGGCCCTGAACAGAACAGGCATGCCACTATGCCGGCTGCCCAGACTCAGCATTTGTCGTTACAGGAAGGAATGGCTTTCTGTTTGCATTTTAGGAAAACTTCACCTTTTAAACATTTCAAATGGAAAAAAAAGTATGCGATTTTTTTTTTTTGAGGTTTTACTGATATGAGCTACAAATAGCTTCTTGGAAGCCAGTCAGAACTCTCTTTTCAATAATGTTGAAACATTTTCCTTTGACTGGAAATTAATACCTTCAATTTAGAAGAACTCTAGTTAGAAGTTTATAGCACAAATATAGCCCCATGTAACTAAGGGAATCTTGGAGAATTTTCTGATGTCAAAAAACAGAGCGGTGTTAGCTCATTTTAAAAAATTGTTCTAGTCAAATATAAAGCAAAAAATCCCATTTTTAATTTAATTTTTATAATATTTAAGAATCATTTCAGAGATAAAGTACTTCTGTTTTTTAATATAGCAAAAGAGATTATTATGATAGAGAATAATTATATAAATTAGGATTTTAGGCTAAGAAAAATGGTCTTCTGTTGGAGTGGATGGTTGTGGTTTTCACTTGTTAGTTGTCTGGTGTTATTTTACATAGGCTTTTTCAAAATTTGTTTTATGTCAATTTCTGTCAATTTTCTTAGTGAAACACTGTTTCTAGACTTCCACTTATACTAATTGCACCTTGATTGGATTATTTGCTGATTTGTTTTTTGGGTTTTTTGTTGTTGTTGGAGGTAAGAGTAAGAGGAAAAACTACTTCCAGCACATGAATGGAAAAGAATCACTTTGCTGTTTGACGTTGCTTGAGGAGACAATGTTTGTGACAGTTGCATGTATTCGTATGTTTGTAATTTATTCTTGTGAACAGCTGATACTGTTTTAGGGCATCAGGTCAGGATGAGCTAAATGTACAGTTCTAATCAATCAAGACAAATGATGGTACTATCACAATTCCATCTCCAGAGGCAGGCCCTCTCCACTGTAGCTCCCAGCTTCACCCAGGGACAAAGCTACAGAAAGGGAGGCATACTGACCCTGCCAAAGTTCCTTCTTCATTCCTGATTCATTCCATCTCCAAACCCACCTGTGTCCTGTGGCCCTCCTACTGCTTATCAAAACTGTTCCCATTATTGCTGCAATCTGATTCACATAGGCAAAATTGGCAGTAGCCATTGTGTGCAAAGCATTCCGTTGAATGTAGGGGCAATTTAAAAATGAAGACATAATCTTTTCCCTGTAGGAACTTACTATCTTATTTGTGTTATTCATATTCAGTGAGTAATAATTTCAGTGTGAATATGTAATATAATATAATAGGTTGATATATAAAGAAACCCCAGGCCGAGCACGGTGGCTCATGCCTGTAATCCCAGAACTTTGAGAGGCTGAGGTGGGCAAATCATGAGGTCAGGAGTTTGAGACCAGCCTGGCCAACATGGTGAAACCCCCTCTCTACTAAAAATACAAAAAAATTAGCTGGGCATGGTGGCGGGCATGTATAATCCCAGCTACTTGGGAGGCTGATGTAGGAGAATCGATTGAACCTGGGAGGTGGACGTTGCAGGCAGCCAAGATCACACCACTGCACTCCAACCCCAGATGACAGTGCAAGACTCCGTCTCAAAAAAAAACCCATATAGAATTTGACACATAGACAGTGGACTTGAAGGGAAGGGAGATAAATTCAAACAGGGACACGTCAGCCAAGACTTTCTTCTCTTCTTGTTTCTCTTCCCACCTCTGTCCTGAAGACCTTGAGAGGCCTTAAAGCCAGGAGCTGAGAGGGGAAGGGCACTCCCAGCCAGCACTAGCTCTCAGCCTGGATGGTGTCCTCACAGAGGCAGGGGGATGGTGCTCCAGGATAGCATGCAGCAGCAGCTCCTACTCCAGGTGTAGCAGCCAGGATAGGTTTTTTCACCTTTCATCCATCTTTATCATTTATTCAGTTTTCATGGTTATCTTGTGAAGCAGATGGCAATGGCGGTGTCCCCATATTATAAGCAGAAAACTGTGAATTGGAGGATTAGGTAACTGTTGGATTCTTTTTTTTTTTTTTTTTGAGACAGGGTCTTGCTCTTTCGTCCAGGCTGGAGTGAAGTGGTGTGGTTGTGGCTCCTCTGCTGGATTCTTACAGTGTTGGGAGCGGAAGCTGTGGTACCTGTGTTCTGTCTCCCACCCACGGCCCAGTTGCTCAGCAGAATTATGTGAAAGCTTCCAAATGTGTGTTTTGAAGAAATCAAAGAATGTAACAGAGTAGGTGAGGGTGTGGAGCCTGGAGCAAGAAGACACTTGCTTGTGTTTAGTCTTGTCTTGGCCACTTCTTAGGTTGTGACCTCGGGCATACTGTGTCAATCTTTCTGAGCTGGGTTTTCTTACCTGTAAAATGGAGAGAATAACAGCACCAATTTTGCAGAGTTGTGCTTAGGATTACAGCAGCCAATGCGTGGAAAGCACTTAGCCCAGTTACTGATGATCAAATGGTATGTGCGAAATCAGCACTTGCTGCTGCCCTATCATTATTATTACTGAATCCCATATTTTTGTTTTCAACTTAAAAGCATAGGCTTTGGCTTAAGGAACATTAGAAATCCTCCTCATTGGTCTCTTCACAGAGGAGGAAAAAGAGGACCAGGGAGGGGGTCTGTCTGGTTAAGAAGAGGCAGGGAGCCCCTGTACAGCCCATCCCTTGAATCCTGCTCGCTCAGCGCATTCGTTCCCCACCCTTCCCCCTCATTAATATGTTCACACATTGCCAACGCCTGAGTTCTTTTCTCCTTCCCCACAGCATACACTAAACCTCTAGGGAGACAATACACCTACTCTCCAGGAGATGGAGTGGTGGGAGGAGGGAGGAATTTTCCAAATAGCCCACAGGATCATGAAGGCTTTTCCTCACATGTTGGTTTTTATCACCTCGGACCATTGGTCACAGAATCTGGTCTGGACCTTGTGCCACTGTGGGAGGATGGCCATAGGAGAAAAAGAAAAAGCATCGCTCCCTGTGGCTCCAGTGGACACACGCGTGCTTTCCTCACCTTTCTATCACCAGAGCCCCAAGACCTAGCATGCACTTGCCACTGTGCCCTGGAAGCTGAGTCACTCTCATCTAAGTGGATGGCAGGTCATTTTGTTACATGGTTTGGGGAAAAGATTACAACACCAAAGTTGTCACTACTTTAAATTCTATCCATGTGCCAGTTCAGTGTAACGATATACTATGTGTGTGTGTGTGTGTGTGTGCACACGCACTTAGAAGAGAGGGTGTTCTCTGCCAAGCTGCTTGCTACTCCACTGCCTTAACCTCTCTCTCTATCACACTCAGTCGCAGTTGGGTTGATGACTCCCATATTCGGCTGAGAAGTGAGTGTAATTGTAAGGCACAGGCATGATATTTCAAGACCTTTACAGCATGAGAAGTAAAATCCTTTTCTCAGTCAGCTGAGAGCCCCTGTTATATGTGTTCCTGACCCCCAAACCCCTCATTTCTCAAGTTTCATGGCTGGAACTTTCTTCATTCTCAACTCCCCCTTTGGTACCCTCCCAATCCAAGCGGTTGTGTGTCTGGCTCACTCTGGCCTTTATCTCCTTTCTGAGCTCAGTGACTAGCTCTATTCTGAAGGCACAGGGTCCTGCTGGCTCCATGCTGCAGCTTCCAGCCCAGGTGAGTGAGGCAGTTGTTGGAGGTATTGACCCCACCCATGAAGCCACCACAATGCCATACTTGATGTTTAGGTTGCCGCTGTTAACCTCCAAAAGGAGATAACCTGATAAACATGGCTGTCCTCATGTTAATTTACTCTTTACTGAATAGCTACCAGGTGGAGTCAAAAGTTGGGATTTGGCTTCTCTGAACAGGGGATGTAATAAACTCATAGCCTTAATCTTTCACCCCTTTTGATCAAAAACTGCAAGATGATCATTACTCATTTCATATGATAAGTGTGTCCTTGAACATGAAATGGAAACAATTGAGGAGGAGAAAGAAAAAAGAGCTGTGTTTTAAGTCCAAAAAACCATTGCAAAAACATGGGCAATTAAGCAAATATTTGTTTATTACCTATTGTGTATGATGCTAAAGGTCTAAAGAGGAGTAAAACAAGTCCCTAACACCAAGTAGCTTGTAGCCTAATTATGGAGACAGAAGCACATAGCCAACCACATTTCAGATCAGACTTTGTCCAAGGAAGTGCTATTATGATGGTATTAATCAATTAGAAAAGCAAGTTGCAAAATAACCTTTACATTAGATTATGTCAACTACTATTATAATTAGTTATAAAAATGTGTTTCTTCTATGGATACACAATGTCTTGGGGCTCATGTCCTCTCTATAGGCAGGCCCCCATGTACCTATATTCATCCACCTGCCACCACCACCACATCTATCTGAAATCCGTTTGTCCATCTTTTCTCTGCCATTCACCAGGACATTAGCAGACATATAGAATCACTGGAAGTCATTTTCATGTTCCATTTTTGGAATGGTAGAATGCCACTCCTGTTTTTTTAAAACAGTTTTACACATATAACCATGAAAAAGTAAAGCATTATTATTTCCCGCTATTGAGATCTAGAATAAGTGGCTTGTTAAACAGTCTTTGGGTTTTAGAAGGTGTGTATGCTACTTGGAAGAAAGAGCTTTGTGTAAATTACCTCCTTTCCCACCCAAGAAATTCCACTTCCAAATTAAGAAAGAGAGAGAAAGAGAGAGAGAAAGGAAAGAAGGAAGGGGGGAGAGAGAGAAAGGGAAAGAAAGAGAAAGAGGAAGAGAGAAGTATTAATCTGCAAACTACCTGCCTGAGTGTGAAGCACACATGGTGTTGGCCATTGCTGTCCCTGTGGCTCTGGGGTCTCTTAATTGCTTGGATTAGGACTGAGGTGAAGGTCAGAACTGGATAGCCTACCCACTATTTCCAGAGTGCAGGAAGTTACAGTTTGGTGTAGATATGGGATTGGTAATCAGATGACCTTTTGTTCTGTGCACAGGTGATGGGTGAAGGGCAGACCTAATTAAAACCATCCAATATATTAAGCATCTCCGTTGTCATTAATTTTCAGCCGTGCATGAGCTCACGATGCCTGGTCCTGCAGGAGTCACAAGTTTGCTCTGAAATGTCAAAACTCAAACACTTCTCAGCTTTCCTCTCAGTTCTGATTCCTATTCCCACCTTCCCCACAGCAGAGGTCAGGCACACTATTTTGAAATACTAGTAAAATGTGCAGTGGGGAACAATACATGTATGTTAACTTTGAGGAAGCCAGACGCTCCTGAGAGGGTCTTGGGGGCCTTAATAAAGCATTTCAAGGAAGCAGAGTATCAAATTAATGCTTTTTGTGCTAAAAACATTAAGGTATTTAGATGTGTTATTCTAATCCCTGTTTCAGCATGGGAACAGAAGGATCTAATATCTTTTATTTAAATCCCAGCCTTCCTAGACTGCTCCATTCTTTTCAGTCTAGTACAGGAAGAGACAGACTATAACCGGTTGATTTCAGTGACTATAAAACTGTATATAATTCACAACATACAACCCATTCAACTTTTACATGAAATGCGCTTGCCCAGATCTTAATACATTCCACATCATTTAGTAGAGATGTCAGGTTTTCAGAAGCTAGACTCCTGTCAGAATGCCACTTTAATTGTTCTGTTTTTGTGGACATGCGATAAAATTGTCACAGACGCAAGTACCGATGCATAAATTCTGAACCCCCAAGCAAAGTATCCTTATTTCAAAGTGAGCCCTTTCTCAGTTGTGGAGTAAACCGATCTTGAGCAGACAGGGTGTCCTCCTGTTTTTCTGAGAGCCCCTCTGCAAGTCTCAGCTGCAGAGGCAGCATTTATGGCTTGAGTACAGGATCGAGTTTTAAGGGTTTTGTTCAGTTAATAAAGAATATCAAGTTGCCCTCACCACTAACAACTGTAGGATAGCTGACCTGTAACTCCTGTTTCAAAGAAGACAATGCTCATAGGATGTTGAAGCAGTCACCAGTCATCATGTAGTAATTAAGATCAGTAAAATATATGTAGAGAGAGATGGCCATATATATGCCTCATGTCTAAATCAATTGTTATGGCTTCTTCCCTTTAAAAATTTTTGGTTTTCAAGGACATTATTAGAGCCTGAAATCAGAATTTAGACGCCATATAAAGGTATCTTCAGGTAAACAGAATAGCTAGTCTTAAAATTCTTTATATTTGAGGACTTAACATCCAACGTAAGAGGTGCAGTACACTTTAAGACACTAGCAAGATTTTTTTCAAGGTCTTTTAAAAGGACTTGTAGAAGAACCAAGACTATATTTTGTGTGTATATGTTGGGAGGTGCATATAACACTGAAATAATTAAAATTAAACTTCCTATCATTATTAAATATTGAAAATGAGTTAAATGAACCCTTTACACAACAAGGAAATTATTAGTAAATGTTAATGTATTTTTGCAGTAGCATATTAACATACATAATATTTTCTAAAAGCTCTCTCTTTATTTGTGGAGTGTGAAGAAGAGCTCAAATTCTGTTTTTGAAAGTTGAGTTATAAAGAATCTCTTTTGGAATATGGAAACATTTAACCTTAGTATTTTTGAGAAATGATACTTATACCCTGTTAAATAATTTTTGTACTTATACAATGCTGTGGAAATTTCAAGCTTTCCACAATTTAATATATGCTCAAATATATGTGTTAAATTCCTAAAATTACCATGGAATTGCAGCACTAAGATAAAAAGCAAGATGCTTGCACAGCTGCCTGCCTCTCCCCTCACCTTTGCAGAGACTCCTGGTGTTGTGACCTTAGCACCTGTTCAACTGCAGTGTCACTGAAAGGAAAGGACCTATGCCTGGTATTGCCAAAATATGGTGGATGTTATCAAAACATACATGTTTCAGCCATACCAAAATAATACCGTCAGTACATCTGGGCTCTTACATTACTTGTTCAACAAATCCTGGAGCGTGTTGACCTGTATTTCTCAAGAGTGGCTGGATAGCATCAGGGTTTGTCATTAAGTCATGCATGTTTTATCACCAATAATGAGATATACGTTTGTCATATTAGTCAGTCAGCAAGTTAAATCCTTATTCTACTGGGCACTGTGTTAAATAGTCATTTGTAGTGCAAAGATATTACAGAGGCATTCTATTGTGGTGGAATCTGATTCTAGGCTTAAATCATTGCACAAAGAGCAAATAGGTGGTTGAGCTAAGCTGGGCAAAGTGATGCACACCTGCGGCCTCAGCTGCTTGGGAGGCTGCGGCAGGAGGATCGCTTGAGACCAGGAGTTCAAGACCAGCATGGGCAACATAAAGAGATCCTGTCTCAAAAAAAGTATATGTATATAAAATATAATATATATTAGCACAGTATATATATATACACACACATATGATAAGGTATATATATACCTTATATATTATTTATTAAATATAAATAATTTGTTTGGATGATTTGTATCATGCAGCACCCCCAAGACTACTTGTAAATGTTTGGTAAGCTGGTATTTATTAAGCCTTCAAAGTGCTTTTGTGAGGTGTTATGCAGGGGCTGGGGGTGAGCTTTTAATAGTTGAAGCATTATGATCTAAAGAGGCCAGGAAAAAAAACTAAGCTTAGGTGTTAGCTTTTCCCAGGAGAGCCCTTTGTAAGGACAAAGATTGTTGTCAGCCATGTGTCATTAAAAGCTGTCACAAGGCTGGGTGTGATGGCTCATGCCTGTAATCTCAGCACTTTGGGAGGTCGAGGCAGGCAGATCACCTGAGGTCAGAAGTTCAAGACCAGGCTGGCCAACATGGCAAAACTCTGTCTCTATGAAAAATACAAAAGAAAAAAATTAGCTGGGTGTGGAGGTGCATGCATGTAATCCCAGCTACTTGGGAGGCTGAGGCAAGAGAATTGCTTGAACCTGGGAGGCGGAGGTTGCAGTGAGCCAAGATCATTCCATTGCACTCCAGCCTGGGTGATGGAGTGAGACTCTGTCTCAAAAAAAAAAAAAAAAAAAAAAAAAAAAGCTGTCCCAGAAGGCCTAGAATGTTTTTAAGGATATTTGTAGAAAATAGAATCAAGACCACTAGCATGTTGGTCAGGAAGTTTGCAAACGATATCTGTCTCTTGAATCACAGGACAAGTGGGCTGTTTTTATCTGCTTTCCATGAGTGATGCATTTAGATCTCACAGAGGTGGCCAGTCATTTATGTATTCCTTTCATCCTCTCCATCTGTGCATAGGCTTTCAGAATTGCACACTAATAGCCTGCTCCTAGGTCTGTTGTTTATATGAAAGTTAAGATAGTTTTGTTTAAATAGAACTGTATTTTTTTTCTATTACGCTTAATTATGGGTGGAGATGTAGCTAGTCTTGGAATCATGATTTTGGTAGTTAGTCACCATTTATTGAATGTCTGCTGTACAAATCTTAAATTAGACATTTGGAGAAGGGTGAGGAAAGGGAGGGATAGAAAAGAAATGAAAGATGTCATCTCTGTCCTTGTGAAGGTTAGAGAGAAAAACATATTCCCCCATGATGGATATAACCAATTATGTTGAATAGTTTATGGAAAGAAATGTACTGATTAAATAATTTTTTAAAAAGTGAATTCTTAAAACTTTTATGTCACCTGTCTGCTCTTTCATGATGCAGCTGATGGCGTTAGGGAAAGAATGTTAACTCAAGTCACATGACATTTTGTAGGAAATCCCCTCTTTTATATTCAGATGTGGTTTTGAAATGTCTAAGGATTCCGAGAAATGCTTCCATGGGAGGGGCTCCATAACACCTTCATCTCTAGAGGAAATACTGGCATAGGATTTCCAGAATTTTTTGCTGCAAAAACAACCAAAGCTAGAAACGCTCATCCCTGAAAGTCTGTGCCTGTGGCTCATTTAACAATGGGGTGCACGTAGTCACTCTGAAACCCATTCGCTCATGGATTGTTCTTTTCTCTGTCAGCACTCACCTTGCTTTTCAAAATACGTCCCACCTTAGACCCAACCCGTGTGAGGCTGCCTCTTGGTCAAACACTGCATTCTTTGAAATAAAAACTGAACTGCTCTCACCTTTCCTTCGTTGTTGCATCTCTCTAAGGCACACTCTCTTGCAGCTTCCTCAGTTACAGCTCCTCGCCATGTGTAAGTTTTTATAGTGAGGGAGCTTTTATAGTGAGGGAGCACTTACATCTACCTTAGAACTATTGAGTGATTGAGTTGAAATTTTCTTTCTTTGTGCCTCTAGATAAGCTAACCCACAGGTACCTATTGGGCTCGCCTGAATGCACCCCCATTCCTGCCACTATCCTTTCCCACTACTGCCCTCCCAACCCCAAATTCTATATCTGCCACTGTGCTCCAGGGGCCATTCCAAGCTGCCCAAATTATCTACTTTTAGAATTTAGGGCTACAATGAAATATACCAAAATCTGGGCCATGAGATTAAGTTTTGAGGGAGCCGCACAGTTTGGATCCGAGCACAGATGTTCCAGAAGGGAACGACTGTCCAGAAGGCCTGGACACCTGGGTTGTGTCCTGCACAAATGTACTAAATGCATCTGAAGAAAGAACACAGTAGACAGAAGGGATGTGGTCAGCCATGGAGGCATTTAATAAATAGGATTGGTTAATTAATTTTAGGTTTTAGACTCAAATATCACATGTTTGTATATCTATCTAATTAAGCTATGAGATTTTTAAAGGTACTGAAGTTTTTGACTGACTGCCATGAAAAAGAAGATGTTATATTTTATTTAAATAACTATTTCAATAAGAAAATCCTTTTCATAGGATAGTATTTTCAACAGGAAAATGAACACTTTTCCAATTGAAATCTTCTGATATATTGGAGCACTTTATTTTATAGTTAAATATTATGTATTTTAGGCTTGGTATTGATAAGTTGGTTTCTGTGTCATTACGAAAAACAACTTATGAAGTCTTGTTTGTTGTATTTCGGTTAGTTTTTGCCCCTACCACCTTCTTATTTGAGACACTCAGATTAAAAGAATATTTTTAATGAAATACCAATAAAATGTATACTTTCTGGGTTTCTGTTTAAAAGCAAAGAAGAAAAACCTACATATGCAAAACTTTAAGAAAGGGGATAAGATTCAGTGTTTCTTGTAATTGTTAACTGTCACTATGGAAATTTTGTATGTATCTTATGCTATGGAAATTCAAGCTTAGCTAGAAAACATTTTTACTAGAAAGAACCTGTGGTATTGTCTAGGCCAGTGCTGGTGACTTGAGTATGGTCCAGAGACAAGCAGCAGCGGCAGCAGCCGGGAGCTTGTTAGAAATGCGCATTCACAGGCCCAGCCCAGGCTTTCTGATCAGAGGCTGTACCTTGACAATCCCTCTGGGTGATTCCGATGCTCACTTAAAGTTGGAAACTCATTGATCTAGGACAGTGGTTTTCAAACTTCCTTTTAGTCATAAGGACTGCTACATGTAATAAAGATGTTTTCAAATCCAGATAGTGAAAGAATTTTGTGAGTCTGGTTAATTAATATGTGTTTTGGGTCTCTAGGGGGTTCCTGGGTGGAGTTCCTTGTAACCCCTCTGGCTCAAGTGAGCTCAGTGTACAAATCTACAATCGAGATCCAGCCCCTCTTTGACAACCAGGCAGGTAAGATCGGAGGAGGTAAAGAATCTGCTTAGGTTTGTTCAGATGATATTGCAAGATCAGAATCAGAAACTCTGAGAGCAGGGTTTATGTATATCAGATAAATTAGTGTATGATCACTAGTTCTATAAAAGCAGTTAGCCAAGGTTTCACTAAAGTGTTATATTTGAAATAATGTTAGAGAGCTAGTTTTTAAATTTCAGGGACATGTGTCCCATAAAATGAGATACTCCAGGAACTGATTTTTGTAAGTCTCAAAAGAAAAACTTATTTTTCATTTTAGAATCTATTATGTTATCCAAAAAAGCAGATAGAATACTTCTCCAGTCAACTGAATGCTTTTGGTTTATATTTCTATTCATAATACACCAAAATAGGATTAAAGAAGTGCCCCCAAGCACCTAGCTTGGGTCAGCTGTGGTCTGGGGTTTTTATTTTATAGGTTGAATTATTATATGTTGGGAATACTTATTAAGTGTGGCATGTGACTCCAGGTCACAAGTTAAGATTAAGAAACAGCCGGCTTGTGCTTCCTGGCAACTTGGTATACTAAAATACTGCATATGGCTAAAGTGGAGTGGTGCCTCTTCATTTCTGTAGAAATTAGCTGTTGGACATCTGTTTTGAACCCCTAGTGTGTGCTAGAATTATGTTTTCTCAAGGCATTACAGCTGAGGGCATAATAAATCCTTGATGAGAATTTCATGCTCCTAAAATACTACCGTATGACTTGCTTTATATACCCTGGTCAGGTTTTCTCCTTATTTTTGCTTTTTGGGAAAGGCAGCTGTTGGATGTTCATAGATTGTACTTTAAGCCATTGGAATCCTCACTTGACTTACTTGAGATCCAAATCCCAGAGTGGCAAGCCCAGTGAGTCTATTTGACTTGCTCCTCATTTCCCATTGGTTGGCCTATCGCTAACCTCCCTAACAAAAAACCAACAACTTTAACCTCAAAAAAAACCCGGGTCTGTTTAGGTCCTTCCCTGTTCCACTCCTGAGATTTTCCGACCCCTGCAGTGTGAAGTGGCCAAGCCTTTGCCTGTGGGCTTCCTTTCTCTCCAGACCACCTTGAATTTGCTGATGGAGAGGCCAGCTTTCTTGATCAGTTGGGTGACATACGGACTTAAGGAGGAGTCGCAGCCTCAGGCCTGCTGAGTCCTGTTTAAGTTCCTGTTTTACGCTCTCTTGTGATACTTTCATGGATGCATAAGAGGAGTTGCAGATTAAGTGATGCCCTCCTTAGTGAGGTTCCACCTCAGTGAATGAATGATTTTAATTAAAGAGTGATTAATATAATCATAAGAATCCAGACTGTAGATCCACTATGTCCTCAGTGTCTCAGCAATTCCTTTGCACAGCCCTTAGACCAAAAGGAAAACTTAAGTTTCTAATTATTAAGTAGGTAAAGTCAAATAATTTAAGAAGTATTTATGACCCAACAACTTAGCAGACATTTGAAACAATAATGTCATTGAAAGACATACATTGAAAGAAATAATCCTTATTTCCTCCATCATTAAATAATCATTACTGTTGACAATGGCATGTGGTGATGTACCTGTTTACCTGTTGAGCGCTGCACGACTTCTCGAACTTTAGGGTAAGCATAGCTGCTGCCTTGCTCATTTCCTATTCCACATTGATTTTCACAAGGCATTTGCTTTTTATCATCACCGCCACGAGAGCTCAGCTTCACAACGACATATCATGAAAAGGGATGCAGTGTGATTTATTGTTGAAACTGTGAGCTACTTCCAGCTAGTATTTTGCACTGTTACCTGAGAGACATTGCTGTATTTCCCTCAAAAATTAAAAAAATTTCTGCTGCAGCATCCCCAGGGCACCTGCACACCCAGTTGGGAACCACAAGTCTGATGGCATGCATTACTCAGAGGTGTCCAGTCTTGTTTTGTTTTTCCAACAGTTAAGATGTTTCACATAATCCTATGCTAGGTGGAGTGTGAGATGCAATTGTTTTATACTTGCTAGTCAACACAGTGGTTTCACATTAATACATCACAACCATCCCATGAGGTGGCTGGTTCTCATTTTCCTGATCCCACTCATGAAAAGCAGGGGCTCATGGACTTCCTTTCCCTGCTTAAATGGTCAATGTGTGGTGCACAGGAAAATGTCATACTCAGGCCTTTAACTGTGGCTCCCAGGTTGTTTTCTCCAACTATATTTGATCTGTGGTTCTGTGGAGTTTCAAAACAAAATGGGAAATCACTTTTGTGTAGCCAGTTACAGTTGTGGGCTGCCTCTGCCAAAAAGATCAGCCCTTGGCTTTAAGTAGCAGTTGCACAAACTAGGCGGGAATAGATACAGCTTAATATCCCTTCATGTTAAAATTGCTTATGTGGAGTTGACTAGAGGCTTCATTGATAAGCAGTGTTAAAGCTCCAGTAACTTTCTTTTAGGCCACATTAAAGTGAATCTGGCATCTGCTACAAGGGAGATGGTGATTCTGTTCTATTCTGCTCTCAGTTGCCTAAAAGATTATACTTGGAGGCTATCTTTTAAGTTCTGAAGCATGCCTATTAAATAATGGTTGAAGAACCTGAGAATATTTAGCAAGCAGCAACAGAGCTTTGGGAGGAAAGATGTGATAGCTGTTTTTATATTTCAGCCTTCCATATATTTGTAAGAGAAGTTAGACTTTTCCTATTTAGCCCCAAATGACAGAGTTAGTACTCTTAAGTATGCTCAGTAACAACAAAAAAGTAATAATAATTTGCAGTGGTCGCACCTACTGCAGGAGGCATCGAATTGCTGCCATTGCAAACCCTTGTGAAAATGCTAAAAGGGATATCAGATTGTGCAACCCAGCTCCTAAAGTCCTTTCATTATGTTTTTCTAACTTTCTAATTTTTATCTTTGTCACTGAGCAAAGGCTTTTTACATGGTTCTACATTCAGTTTGCTGTCTCGCCAAATGCATTTCTTTCTCAAGTTGGTAGAATGAGATGTCAGGTAGCACTTCAGTTTTCTGTTTGGAACAGGTATCTTTGTGGGTAGAGACCATCTAGGAGCTGTTGAAGTTCTTACTGGGCAAATCTTTGAGTGTCCATTCTAGCTGATGCGTGAAGTCCATATGTGGGCGTGGCCAGTAGACCTCTGTGAAATCCAGAAAAATCTTTTACTTTGTGTTTATTCTGTGTGTGTGGTGGCGTGGGGGGGGGGTGGTGGGGGGGCAAGTGCTGTTTAAGTGATCCAAAAGCTTACCTGTAAATCCCGCAAATCAAGCATCAGCTTACCAATTCAGAATGTAGAGTCACTCAGTCCTGAGATGCTAGTCTTTGCTTCGTGTTGCTGTGTTTTGTGGTCTACACTCTGAATAAGCACTTCATTATCATGAATACCCCTCTGCTTTAGACCCCACAGATTTATACTGGCTCCTCTTCCCAGACGACTTGAGGACTTAGGAAAGCTTGGCCGCCATCTTGGATTCCTTGTGGAAAGAACCCTTCCTATGCAGGGGCTGATCTTCTTGCCCCCTTTAGGGCTGTGCTTCTGCATGGCTCAACAAGGGGAGACTTCCACTCCCTGACTCCCATCCTAGATCCTCTGCCTTGGCTGCCCTTCAAACACAGCTTCATTTTCTGGGGCGGATGTAGGGAAGTCTTTTTTCTTTGCTCTTACCCCAGCCTTCTTTCTGCACTTTATCATGCCCTGCCAATTTCCTTTCCCTTCTGTAAAAGCAGATTTTACAGAAAATTCCCTTGCCAGCCCTAGGTTGTATATGATGTACCATAAAGCAAAAGGAGGTCTGTGCTGGTTTTCTGATTTATTGGAAAGACATTTCCGAAGACCCCTGTAACTAGACTGACTTCCTTTATCATTCAGCAGGGCACACGTACCCCCGAGGAGTTTGTGCAGATGCCTCCCACTTAGCAGAGTGATTACAAATAGGCTGTGTTTTAAGTTAGTTTTCTGTTGTATATTTCATCTGAGAAGTTGGCAAATACTTGAAAGCCACAAGCTACTGTTTTCTGAAAGCTTCTTTGCACATGAGCATAAAATGGATGTATTGAATTTGGAGATCGTCCAGTAACTGTCCTTTTAATGCAGCGGAATGTAGATTACAGCTGTTTCCTCTGGAAAGACATGCATAGCTCTGATTTCCCTCTCTTTTCTCACAGAGTGTCTCCTCTGCAGAAGTCTGAGATAGTGGATGTGGTGAAGAAGCGGGTGAAGGCCATCACCCTCGCCATCGGAGACGGCGCCAACGATGTCGGGATGATCCAGACAGCCCACGTGGGTGTGGGAATCAGTGGGAATGAAGGCATGCAGGCCACCAACAACTCGGATTACGCCATCGCACAGGTCAGCAGCTTGGGCGTCCAGCTGCCCTGTCCTGTTGAGAGATGATAGCTGGGCATGAGGACCTGGCGTTTAACCTTCAGTGCATCTCCAAACCTCTGCCACCCCTCTTGAGGTTGCTGTCTAGATGAAACCCCGGGGATATTTGGAATTCTCTGTAGTTGTGATCTTGTGCAGTTTGGAGGCCCTGTCCTGCTGATTGGATTTCTCTGGCCAGCTATGGGGTTGGCCAAGCTGCTCTGTGATCCAGGCAAGGTGCTGCTCCTGGCAGATAGGTCTCTGATCTTGCTAATAATAACCTCTCACCTTCAGCTTCTGCATCTGCTGCATGGCTTTTTCTGCTGCATTGCCTGCTGAAGCACAGCTGTGCTCATGACAGCCTTTCTCTATAATCCTGTTCCAGTCTCACTCCTCCCAAAGGTGTTGGGACACCCCCTGGCTAGGTGCTTAAGGTCAGGGAGAAGCAGTGATTACAGCTGTCGCCTTCTCTGTAGTTATGAGAGGGGTGCTGTCCAGGACCACCCCTGTGAGGTGAATTGCCAAGAGCACGAGCTGGGTTTGGGCCATAATGACCCCATGGTCAGTAGCAATCAGCCTCCTGCAGTTAGGCCAAGTTCAGTCCAGCGGAGGCTGATCCGAGCCTCGCATGCCAGGGCTCCTGATGTGCTGTACTGCACTGGTGGCCTGAGGATGAAAGAAAGGTCCACTCCGTAATGATAGCCCAAAGGTGAAGGAAGATAGCCAATTTCCTAACCCGTAGGGTGCATATCTGAGACCACCTTTGCAAAATTATGACTGAGACAGTGGAAGAGATCTAACTTAACCGACTCCATCTTGCTTCTAACCTCCAAGCTGTCCTTGTTCATTTCTGGGCGTAAGCTGAACTAACTTTGAGAGAAACTCAGTTTATACTTTATAGTTTAAACAAAGATGGTAACAGCCCTTTCCCAAAGCAGACCTCCTTGCCTGGGGACTAGACTAACATTAGCCACAGGATTTGAAATATGGCTTAGGAGTCATGCAGCTGGAGGCTACGAGATTCTGACCTTCTTAAACTGCTCCTAAGATCAGTGCTTGAGATATTTTGCAGACCCTGCACTTGATGGATCAGCTGGCACCACTCAGATCAATAAACTGGCTCATCTAATCTTGTGGCTCCCCACCACCCAGGAACTGACTGAGCTCAAGAAGACAGCTTTGACTCCCTATGATTTCTTCCCTGACTGATCAGCATTCCCGGCTCACTGGCTACCCCCACCCACCAAGTTATCCTTAAAAACTCTGCTCCCCGAATGCTTGGGGAGACTGATTTGAGTAATAATAAAACTCCAGTCTCCCTCACAGCCGGCTCTGCATGAATTACTCTTTCTCTACTGCAGTTCTTCTGTCTTGATGAATCGGCTCTGTCTAGGCAGTGGGCAAGGTGAATCCCTTGGGCGGTTACATATCTAGATGATTTGGCCTGCTGGATCACCCAGAAAACCTAGACATCACAGCGAATGCAGGGCCTGTCCCTCTGTCTCCAGATTGCGATACATCATGAATAGATGCCTGCTCATCGGCTGGGTAGCAGGAATTCCCTTGTGTTTCTACGGTGTTGAGGTGTTTGAAGAATGTGTTCACCTTAATCACATGAACACAAGGAAAAATGGCTACACACCCCTTCAACCTGAAATCAGGTGCTGCATATAAAATGTGAAGGAGCTTCCTATAGCCCCAGGGCTTCAGGCCAGTCCTTTGCAGTTCTGGGGCTCCACCTCTCCAAAGCGGGGGCTCTGTGTTAGATCACCTCTCAGGTTTCTTCTCAGCTCACAGTTCTGCAGATGCAGGGAGAAATTACAAAATCCTCCTGGCTCTGAAAAGTGCATGCAATCAATCTTCTTCCTTTGCTGATTTCAAATAAATCCTCAAGATAATTTCTGAAGTAGGTAAGAGAAGGAATCTTGACTTTATAGGTGGGAAAACCGGGGTTCCTTCGTATCAGGTGACTTACATCAGGTCCAAGCAAGCAAGCATCTTGGGGTCAGAAAACAACGGACCTGAGTGTGAACTTGGGGGCCGGCCCCACGCACACCTGCCTGTTTACTTTCCTGAGTCAAATGCTTTGAGGCCTGTGGGACTCGCACTTCCTGTAGTCTGTCAGCAACTATAGATGTTATACACCCCAGCATTATTAAATACTTGAGTTATAACATCATATGGCTGGAAGGGATCTTAAGAGGTTTCCTAGGAGTTCCAGGCAAATATTTGTCTGTCTTTTTCTTTAAAATGTCTAGGGAAGGGAGATCCCATGACCTGCTTTACTGGAACTGCATAGGAATAGGATGTGTTATCCAGAGCAATTGCTCTCTTCAAATTAAAAGTGTCAAAGAAGGGTGGAGCAGGGAGCGAGGCTTTAAAACGCCATTGGGGGTTTTCTTGCCCCTCCAGCATCATAGTCACTTCTGCCAAAGGAACTGATGCAGCCCACATGTTTCTGTGCACCCTCATTTCTCCTGTCCATGGTCCTATTGCCGATTAGGTGGGGATGCTGTTACTTCAGGGCAGGTTCCTGCTAACCTCATAACCTTTGCACCAACCAACATGCTGCCTCTACCTTAGTCACCATGCCAGAAAAGCCACAGCTTGATGAATTTCTTTGCCTCTCTTGAAATGGTAAACATCTCTGGTTGTTTATCGCCTTGGGCTTTATCTGTTCATTTTAAT
This sequence comes from Homo sapiens, assembly GCF_000001405.40. Classification (NCBI taxonomy): domain Eukaryota; kingdom Metazoa; phylum Chordata; class Mammalia; order Primates; family Hominidae; genus Homo; species Homo sapiens. The sequence goes on along the minus strand of NT_187593.1, from coordinate 60,735 downwards.
GTGGATGCATTTTTTTTATTACGCTTCGGAGGAAGTACCCTCAGGGTTATTATACTCAGAAAGAAAAAAATGTTAGCTCAAAGACTTACCTTGGGAAAGTTACGAAGTGGGCAAAGCTCTGGTTCTATTTCTTCCCTGCCTACCTTGTGCTTTTATGCACATGGGCAGCCCAAGACCGAGCGCCGTCCTTTTTCAGCTGCCTTGTCCTGAGCAACCTTGCTGCCGTCGCTGAGTCATGGTGCTCCCCTAGCCCTTGGCTTTCCATTCTCCTCGGGAGAATCATTCCTGCCCCCTGCCCTCCTAATGTTTTCAGAACGACCTCATGATGACAGCATTTTGATTTAGAATATACATTTTTTTTTCCTGAAAACAAATCACTGTAGTGCTCAAGTTGAGGCATTCAGGATGACTCAAGCAGATGTTTTCTGTGCCCATTGAAGTTTAACATCAGGGGGTCCCGGTCAAATACAAACTTCCTTTTTATTTGTTTAGCTAGTTATTTTATGATTTCCCATTCCCCTTTGGAATCCTTAATGAGCCTTTATGGGGAGTTTTATTTTTCCATGTGCACCTACTTCTGCCACTTCGAAGCGATGATTTAGATTCCGAATGCGTGGTGAGCCCCGCGCCTTCCCCTCACCTCCTGGAAGAACATGCTGAGCTGGGACTCCACCTAGGATGGAGTCCTTTCTTTAGTGCTAATGGAGATTATTATGCAGTTTCCTCCTGAAAATTTTTTGTTTAAGTATTGTATTTTCAGTCTGGTCATTTCTTTTCTATTGAGAGTTACATTTAATTAATTAATTTATTTATTTATTTATTTATTTATTATTTTTTTTATTCAGAGTTTCACTCATGTTGCCCAGGCTGGAGTGCAGTGGCTGGATCTCGGCTCACTGCAGCCTCCGCCTCCGCCTCCTGGGTTCAAGTGATTGTCCTGCCTCAGCCTCCTGAGTAGCTGGGATTACAGGCACCCAACACCACGTCTGACTACTTTTTGGATTTTTAGCAGAGACGGCGTTTCACCACGTTGGCCAGACTGGTCTTGAACTCCTGGCCTTAGGTGATCTGCCCGCCTTGGCCTCCCAAAGTGCTGGGATTACAGGTGTGAGCCACTGTGCCCAGCTGAGAGTTACGTTTAATTTCCAAAGTCATCTGAAATTAATAAGAAGTATATAACTGCAAAAGAATTTCTAATGTCCTGGGCATTCTCAATACAGCCTGCTTGTCTCTCCTAGTAGTGTAATAGGTTTCAAGCTTGTGGACTTACTGACACTCTGACTTAGAACAGGAGGCATTAAGGTTTTCATGCAAGGGAACTAAGAGGGAACTCAAATCCAGTGTAAGGCATATCAAATGTGTAGAAACGTGATGTAAACAGGGTTGCAGCTAACGGCACATTTATGCCAGAGCAGGACACCACGCACCAGACCAGAGAAACTCGTTTCCCTCCCTCCAGCGCAAGGTTTACACTTTTTGGGACCTTTATGAAACGGCACACAGAAGGCAAAGCCAGGCTAAGGGGTGGCTGAGGAGATACGATCTGAGTGGTGTCCAGAGACCCCCTCCCCCAGTGAGGATTCCTGAATGTTACTGGATTATCTATGGCTCCAACTCAAACCACAGGAGCCATCACATCACTCCCAGCTTGGGACCCACCAGCAGCCCCTGACTGCATAGCACTCTGGCCAGAGGGGCTCTGTACTGGTTGGAGGCAAAAAAGGAGAAGACAAAATGGGTCAAGAAGTGGAGGCAAAGTGTGTGTGTGTCTTAGTATATCTATGTGTACATGTGTATTTGTATGAGTATCTATGTATGTGTGTCTGTGTGTATGTGTGTCTCTGTGTATCTCTGTCCTGTGTGCCACTATCTCTGTGTCTAGGTGTGTGTGTCTGCCTGTATGTGTCTGTTTATCTGTGCCTGTTATGTGTCTCTGTGTATCTATGTGTGTACATCCGTGTGTGTCTATATGTGTGTGTAACTTTTTAAACTACGCAGTTGTTAGTGGAAGTAGTGTATGTGCACCTGTGTGTACTTTTCTTTTAAACAAGACTGTATTGTGTGAGTGTCCCTGTCCCTTGCTCTTTTTGTCACTGAAAAAATCTGTGTTTGCTTAGAGATATCTGACTTCCACTGTACTTTTCTTTCAGTTTAGTAGCTCACCTTTGTTTAATAATTAATCCCTATTGCAGCACTATTCATAATAGCAAAGACATGGAATCAACCCAAATGTCCATCCGTGCTAGACTGGATAAAGAAAATGCAATACACATACACCATGGAATACTATGCAGCCATAAAAAGGAATGAGATCATATCCTTTGCAGAGACTTGGATGGAGCTGGAAACCATTATCCTCAGCAAACTAACACAGGAACAGAAAACCAAACACCACATGTCCTCACTTATAAGTGGGAGCTGAACAATGAGAACACATGGACACAGGGAGGGGAACACCACACACTGGGGCCTGTTGGGGAGGCAGGGGGAGGGAGGGCATCAGATTAAATACTAATGCATCCAGACCTTGAAACCTAGGTGACGGGTTGATAACTGCAGCAAACCATCATGGCAAATGTTTACTTATGTAATAAACCTTCACATCCTGCACATGTATCCTGGAACTTAAAATTCAATTACAAAAAAGCATTTGTTTAAATAGAATTTCATAAGAATAACAATTAGGAGTCCAGCAGTATGTTTAGGGAAAATAATAATAATGTAGTTTCAAGAAGGATTTTACTTGTTCTCACTGGGCCTGAAAGCTCTGTCTTCAGAGAATGGTTTTCTGAGATTCCTGCGGAATCTGGTTTCCTCTACCTACATTATCTGACTTCTGTTCATAAGGACATTCTGTTTGTGACTTTTATTCCTCAATGATGGGCTCTTCTGAGCTTTGTAATTTTCCTTTTTCAGTTTTCCTACTTAGAGAAGCTTCTGTTGGTTCATGGAGCCTGGAGCTACAACCGGGTGACCAAGTGCATCTTGTACTGCTTCTATAAGAACGTGGTCCTGTATATTATTGAGGTAAGAAGGGGTATTTTTTTTCCTTGAAGAGAAAGTTCTTTTAAGAGGATATCTTGAGGTATTTAAAGTCATTTCAAGGCAGGATTTTGTTCATGTAAAATTAAAAGATGCTGCTGTGACTTTCTACAGCCTGGGTCACATGTAAGCTCCTGTGAAGCTGGGCTCGCCATTCTGGTCTAGATCCTCATGCTGGATGACCAAAGCGGGCATCTGCAGCCTTTCTTACCTACCCGGACATGCCTTCCTCCTAGCTCTCCTCCTGTGTTCCTCTTTGCCATGCCTCTTCCTCTGTGTCCTTGGCTGGGGTAGAATCTTGCTAATACTCACAGCCCTTCCACAGGGGTCAGATCCTATCAGCAGAGGCCTACACCTTGCCAGGTGATCGCTGAGGTGTTGCTGGAATGAACAAGGGGGCCTGATTTCTGCCTTATTTCTCACAGACTCTGCAAGTTTCCTAGCATCCATTCACTGCTTCTGGGATACTTGGACACTGGTACTTACGTGGGAAGGGTGTGGGAGTGAGGGGATAGTGGGGAGTAAAACAGCAAGGTCATTGACAATATTGCAGTGAGTTCATATTCTGTTGTCAGACAATTTTCCAAGATGCTGATTCAGTTACCAGTAAAACAAACGTGCCTGCTAGAGGGGTGGGCCCAGGAAGAAATGGAAAAGTCACTTCATGTTTGCTATTAGTGGGATTACAGCCCTGCTATAAAGGGGGTGGCTTTTGAGGCCATCATGACTAATCGTTTCCAACTATGTTTGTCTATGGAGGAAGGCAATGTTAATTATGGTGTTTTAATGCTTCATTCTACTATGGGTTATTTTATATCTGATTTCTTGACTCTTAGTAAAAATAATAAGCAAGGAAGAAATCAACTTTTTCTGATGTAAGCTCTGACAATACTGGGTTCAAATAACTATTAATAACAAGTGCCTTGCTAAGGTAGCTGTAACTAACTACTTCTTTACCCGGTTGTCTAATCTTTCCTACTCAATCATTCAGGTCAAACATATAAGTTCATGTCACACATCTGGTAACTAAACTACTAAAGAGTGATTTCCCCAAGTTGTGCAGGTTGTTCATGGCCCAAGACAACCGGGCCAAAAGAGTAAATGAAGCAGAAACATAACCTGTGCTACTTCATTCATCTCTTCAGCTGCCCGGAGCCCAACTGGAAACAGCAATGCATTTTTCTAAGTTGCACAAGGGCCAGCCTATTCGCCAAGACGTGTGCACTTGCAGAGAGGATGCCTCTTCTAGTTCACACAAAAGCCCCTTGTGGGCTGGGGAGCAGCCCTGATTCTTAAGGAATGTTCCAAGCAATCAAAAGGGATCTGGTTAAAGTCCTGAAACTGACCCATTCTTCCTAATTTGAATCTTTTGTGGGAGGTGCCCTGTCTGCTTAAGTGTATTTCCCTAGGAAGAAAATACACAGCAGAGGCTTGAGAGATTTGGTGATATAATTGACGTTTTATTCAGTATAGTGAGGTTAAAATCAATAATTTAAAAAATTATTCACAATTTGTCTGCTGGTCTTGTGCTGTAATATTCAACTCAGTTCACTCTGGGTGAGAACTTGTAGATATTGGTGTAAGAACTTTAGTGGTTTCTCTCTTCTCTTATTTTTACAATTCCCTTTTGGCACTTAAAGGTGTTTGTCCCCCTCCTGCTCCTACATTTTTCTGTGTCTGTGGTAGGAGTCACTCCTCAACGTCACTCAAGGTCATGGACGATAGTGTAAAGAGGTATCGTAGGGTCATGGACCATCGTGTAAAAGGGTATTAGAATCTCTGTTTCTTCGTGCTATCCCAGGCTTCCCAGCATTTTGTGCTCCTGTAGCTGCTGGCTTTCACGGTTTCTTAATAATCTCGTTTTCTTCACAATCAGCAAATTACAGATAGTCTAGACTTCTTATCAAGACATTCTGCGTGGAGCTCCCAATCTTTCACTTTTCAGATCGTCCCCTAGGGCCCCTTCTTAGTCATTTACACCTACTATCTTGCTGGTGTTTTTTTTTTTACTTCAAGTGGGCTGAGTCTGAGAAGAGTGCAATTTTAGTCTGCCTGAAAAATTCTATTTGGAAGGAGGCCCTGAAAGTGCCACATGCGTGCCTCAAATTAATATATTTCAATTGTAGCTGAGCAGCAGTTGTTAAATGGTCTTTTGTAAACAGCCTTTTAAACATTCTTTATAAAGTTAAAGAAAATGTTAAAGTCTGCACCACTCCATGCCCAATTTTCTATTTAGTATTTCTCGGGGATATTAATTTGAAAACCAAGAAAGCAAAATCCTTGACCGAGCCTATATGGTTAGAGCCTTGACTCAGGCAGAGCCTACCTACCACTGCCAAATTACTTCTTTCGCATCAACATGCACTTCAAATATAGTTTTAAAAATAGGAAAGTACTACTTACTTGCATGCAATTTTAGTGTGTTGTGAACTGTAAGATCAAAGATTATTGTAAGTTGATTTGCTTATTTGCAAAGAATACTTTTTTGTTCTAAAGGTAACCCTTATAATTAATTACTTAAGTAAGAATAAATTAAATACATTACTTATTTATCTTAAATGGTTTTCTTGTAACTCAAGGAGCGATTCTTTACAATAGCCAATATGTTGTCATCTCAGATGCCCTCTAAGATACATAACTACTAATCACTTAAAAATGTAGTCTAAAGGCAATTTGGCAAATTAAAAAAAAATACACATGTGTGCATGCACACACACATTTTATGGCCTTAGCCATTATTATGAGGATCATTATAGGACTTGAATTGCCAATAAAGATTGTAGGGAAGAACTGTAAGCCTGTGATGTAATGCAGTCTACTCACTTGGCATACTAACCTATAAAAGTGGATTTTTCTGTGTAAGGAACACATGGATGTATTCATGTTGCTATATGGAACACTAACTGAAAGTTCCCTCCACTCTCGCCCCCAAACCTCCTTCCGTATTATCTGTCCTGACCTTTTTCTCTGTAGGTATGGAGATATTTATGTATACAAACAAATCAAGGATTTTAGATAAATGCCATCATGCTGTGCAGAGCCTTCTGCAACTCATTTCACCTGACAGTGTATTCTGGAGACCATTCCCAGTTACTATGTATAGACCCAGGGCATGCCATTTCACAGGGGGGTTTCCTGCAATCTATTCAGCCATTCCCTGCACTGATAAACATTCCACTTCTCTCCAGTTTCAACCCCCAAAAGCCTTGTGGAATAACAGCTTTCTCACTAGCCCATAAATATTCCACCCAAATGATATTGATCTAATTAGACCATTTTTACCACAGTTCCTTGAACATAACACATGCTTACGTATTTTTATTTATACAACAACAAGTTATTTGTTGCTGACAAATCTTAATTAATGCTTGTTGAGTGTGCCGCATAAAATTCAAGCCAAAATAACTATTGGTTTGAGGGATTTAAAAACTAGGAACAAAATTATGCAATACATGGTTTCATGTTAGCCCTATTAATAGGTAAAACTGAAAATACTACAACCTGTGCCTCCATCCTCCCTGCAGCTGCCTTAATTTAGTACTGTTTTCTGGGTTGATTACAAAAACCGCTAGTTTCACTTCCTTGACCATCTCCGCTGTAGCTAGGATACGATTTCTGAAACATACGTCTGATCAATTCCAGTGTCTGGCACAATGTCTGGAATGGAGGTGCTTGAAAATGCTGGCAATGAAAGAGTGATGAATGCTGCTGCTTCCTGCAGCCCCTTCCCAGGCTCCCTGTGCCTTCTGATGAAATGCCCATCTCCGTCCCGTCACCTGCCCCTCTGCGATCTGGGTTCCAACTGTCACCAGCCTCCTCTGCCACTGTATCCTCCTTACTTTATTTGTAATCAGTGTTACTCAAGTATGATTGATGTACAGCAAGATAAACACTTTTTAAGTGTTCCATTCTATGAATTAAAACTGGGTTTTTATCATTAGAAACACACTGAGGATTTTGTCTGTCTCCCATAGACGGTGACCAGAATGTCTCAGAGAGCTCTGGAGACAAACAGATGGTGGTGATGGTTGCACAAGGCTGGGCACTGGAACTGCAGTGCAAGTGTGAACATGGGACCACACACTTAAAAATGGCTATGGTGGCAGACTTTGTTATCTATATTGTACAATCATTTTAAGATGCTAAAAAAAAAAAAAGAGAAAAATGTCACAAACACTTGGCTGCTTTCATCGCCTTGAGAGAGACAAAAATGTATAAGGACAGATTGTATGCTTTGGCGAGCTTATTGAAGGTTTGAAAAACAAATTTTACCCATAGTTTTGTTTTGCATTAAACTAATTAAATGCTATGTTTCATGGTCGTGGCCAGATGGACCATATTTCTCAGAAGGTAAAATCCTGTTGTTGTCTAGAATGCTCAGAGCTTCAGAGCCTTGCAGGGCAGCCAGCTGGGAGTGGGGTTGGGGTGGGTGGGGCAGGGGGGCGGTGTGTATTCCCTGTGTGTCTGCACTGGGGGTGGGAATGGGATGAAATTAGCAAAAGCAAGGAGATAGAGCAGGGTAAAGATATGTGAGTGACCAGGGAAGGGCATCTGAATGGCTCAGTCGGAGTAGTATTGCCATTGGAAGCTGGGATTCCTTTTTTTTTCTTCTCTTTTTGCAATAGTCAAATTACATAGTAAATGTGATTTAGGAAAATTTGTCTATCAATATGTAGGGCAGATGGCAAGCAGAGAACTTACATGTAATTTTGTAGTTTTAAGCCTGGGGCATAGATCATGCCATTATGTAACTATCTCTCCATGTAATTTAGAAGCAGAAAGCAAAGACTGATTTTTAAAACTCTTTGATGTTGACAATGGGAGGAATTTGCCTTAAATGTAAAGATTAGGGGTAAAGAGGTTAGGAAAGGATTCCTATAAATTTTTGAAGTCTTGACTGACCTCTGTGTGGTATCTCCTAAGGAGAGGGATTGAATAAGTTCTTTAAAGCTCCTACACTATTTAACAAACTATGAGTTAGTTGTTCAGGGTTTTCTTAATAGAGTACAGTTTCAAAGCACAGCAGCATCAGCATTTTAAGCATGTATTAGGTGGCATATGCATTTGTTTGTGGACTTTCTGAACCTCTGGGAAAAGGTTATTTGGAATAGATAACATTTTTAGTGGCCATAAAATTCAAATAGAAAAATAATAGGGACATTACTTGAACTTAACCTATATTTCGAAAAATTATCATAGGGATCTCTTGTAAACTTTGGTATAACATAAGGAAGATATGCCAAATTATTTTTGAAATAGAGATGAGTCTGAAATCATAATGGTGATTAGTTGGTGGTTCCTAATACAAAGAATAACCATAACATATGTATATTGATGTGAAAAAGTGGATATTATATACAGCTTGGAGTCTACTTATTTTTGGCAACACATACAAGAAATTTTAGTGTTTTCTTGGGGGTGATTAAACTGATAGGGGATAAAGGCCAGGAAATGAGATGCATATTTAGCAGGAAGGTCTGGAAATACTATCACTGAAATAGAAATAGATATTCTAAGACCACAGCAATTTGGGGACCAAATGAAACTGAACCGCAGAATTTAGTTGACAGCTGTTTAAAAATTTGTCAATATCTGACAAGCCTAAAACAAGCAAACAAACCTTTATTATACTGCAGCAGAGATTCCCAACCTTTCTGGCACCAGACACTGGTTTCAGGGAAGACAGTTTTTCCACAGAGGGCATGGCTTTGGGATGATTCAAGCACAGTACATTTATCATTAGATCCTCATAAGGAGCGTGCAAACTAGATCCCTTGCATGCGTGCTTTACAATAGGGTTCATACTCCTGTGAGAATCTAATGCTGCCACTGATCTGACAGGAGGCGGAGCTTAGGCAATATTGCCCGCTAGCCCTCCGCTCACCTCCTGCTATGTGGTCGGGTTTGCAACAGCCACCGACCAGCACCAGTCCAGTCCGTGGCCCAGGGGTTGGGGATCCCTGTACTACAGGATATGAGAAAAGGCCTTACTGGCAGTTTGTTTTTCTGTGTCTTCGAATTCTCACGCCTGTAATCCCAGCACTTTGGGAGGCCGAGGTGGGTGGATCACGAGGTCAGGAGATCGAGACCATCCTGGCTAACATGGTGAAACCCCGTCTCTACTAAAAAAACACAAAAAATTAGCTGGGCATGGTGGCAGGTGCCTGTAGTCCCAGCTACTCGGGAGGCTGAGGCAGGAGAATGACGTGAACCTGGGAGGCGGAACTTGCAGTGAGCGGAAGCCGAGATCGTGCCACTGCACTCCAGCCTGGGTGACAGAGTGAGACTGCGTCTCAAAAAAAAAAGTGAAATGAATTATGGTTCATGTATAAATTGCCATTTTAATCCAAAACGTTTTCAGTAGATGAATACTTTGATTTTTTAAAATTGTTTTGCAAACATATATTTCCTTTTGCTGTTTTACAGCTTTATTTTTTTCTGTTGGACCTGTGAGAGATTTTGTTTTATCATCAATTTTTTATTATTGTTTGAAAATAATCATTATTTTTCAAACTTTTTTTTGTTTGTTTTTTGAGATGGAGTCTCACTCTGTCACCCAGGCTGGAATGCAGTAGTGCAGTGTTGGCTCACTGCAACCTCCGCCTTCCAGGTTCAAGCGATTCTCCTACCTCAGCCTCCCAAGTAACTGGAATTACAGGAGTGCACCACCACACTCAGCTAATATTTTTTGTATTTTTAGTAGAGACAAGTTTTCACCGTGTTGGACAGGCTGGTCTCAAACTCCTGACCTCAAGTGATCCACCCGCCTCGGCCTCCTGAGCTGTTGAGATTACTACAGGCGTGACCCCTTTGCCCGACCTTCAAACATTGTTAGAAAAAAATCATATCTAAATTACCCCTTCTTTCCATTATTATGTCATTAGCTTCTTGTTTGGGGAGCCTTAATTAAATATGTTAATGCACGGAGATGCTATGCACTTGGTCAACCCTATTACAAATTGGTATCTATGTCCTACTAGTAACCCATGCTTCATTATAAATGATAAAAGAAGTCACTGGCTTTGGGCTGGATTTCATTTTAAATGTTAGAATCAACAGAGAGTAGATGTTTTAAACCATGATCAAAATTTCATCCAGTGACTTTTCCCCTCTTGCATATAATGCATGACTTAACTATACCTCAAAACAATGTGTTTCGTTTGGGGGACACAAGAAATTTCATTACACGGTAAAAGATAAAATCCTAATAGCTAAGCTTTCCTCTTCTGTCCTGTGCATCTGCCTTGGCAGAGTTAGCTTTATGTTTCCTGTTACAGCTTTTATTTGAAGGAATAGATTGGCAGCTATGAGTGCGGTGTTAAAATGTTAATAAGTAAAAGGCAAATTTAAAAATATCATTGACATATGGACCTTTCTGTAAAGGCTGTGGCTTCATCAAGTATGGAACCATCCATTTTCTATTAAAAGCTTTAATAAGTGTTGACCACCTACTCCAAGGCAGGCAGAATGCTGAGACTGAGGTACTGGGACATGCTGCACAGAGTTCCCCATCTAATACAGGTTGGGGAAGAGGTGAGTACAGTCATCCCTTAGTATCCACAGGGTACTGGTTCCAGGATACACCCTCCCCACCTTCAGATGCCAAAATTTGTGGATACTCAAGTCCCTTATATAAAATAGTGTAGTATTTGCATATAATCTATGCACATCCTCTTGTATACTTTACATCATCTATAAATTACTTAAATACCTAATGCATTGTAAATGCTATGTAAATAGTTGTTACACTGCATCAGTTTTGTTTTGTTTTGTTTTGTTTTTTTGAGACGGAGTTTCACTCTTGTTGCCAGGCTGGAGTGCAATGGCGTGATCTCGACTCACTGCAAGCTCCGCCTCCTGGGTTCACTTGATTCTCTTGCCTCAGCCTCCCGAGTAGCTGGGATTACAGGCACGTGCCACCGCACCTGGCTAATTTTTTGTATTTTTAGGAGAGACAGGGTTTCACCATGTTGGCCGGGCTGATCTCGAACTCCTGACCTCAGGTGATCCACATGCCTCAGCCTCCCAAAGTGCTGGGATTACAGGCGTTAGCCACCTCTTCTGGCCCAGTTTTTAAATATGTACTATTTTTTATTCTTGTATTGATATTTTTACTGTTTTTCTTTCCTGAATATTTTTTTTTCCTGTGGTTGTTTGAATCTGTGGAGACGGAGAGCCTGGCTGTACAGCGTAAGTGCTCTGATGGCTGTGTGCACAAAGACCTCTGCATGCACAGGCCTGGTGCCAACCCCATCCCAAGAGCATCTGGGCTTACAGTCCATGATTACCTGGGTGGTCCCTATCTTGTGCTGACAATTGTTGAGTAATAACTGCAACTGTAATATGTTGGTGGGAAAACTACTTAGAGAAGTTTCCCATTGGACAATTGAAAAATGGGAATTAACTAGAAATGTAAACATTCTGAATTCTGCTTTCCTTGCCTCATGCATGCTCATTCTCCAAGTCAAGAACTCTTGGGTCATGGGGACAAGAGGAACAGGACAGTCCCTCCTCTTGGAATCAAATAGAGAATGCAGATAAGAATTCCCACAATTATAATATGGTGTGGTGGGGCTGGCTTAGAGGAAGACAGCTTGCAATGAGAACTGTTAGAAGTGGTGCTTTACAGGCGTGGTAGGGTAAGGGCCTCAGGATCCCAGGATGAAACGAGTTAAGACCTGAAGGATGAGTAGCAGCTGATCAGGTGAAGGGGTGGGAGGAGAGGGTCAGGGAATGTGCCAAAGAGAGCCCAGCACCTGCCTTTCCCATCCATGTTCTCTGTCTGTTCCAGCTCTGTGATAAATGTCAGCAATTAGCCCAGCCCTTAGTACCTAACAGAGAAGAAATGCATTATGCTGCGGTTTTATATTTCAGTCGGAAGATGGCTGGAGAACTAGTTAAACACGTGCCTAGGAATGTTCTCTGAAAGGCCAGCTGGTTGCTGCTGGTTGATAGAGCTGGGAGTTTATTGGCAAAAGGTGGAGAGGGGGTGAGAGGACAGGGAAGAGGTAGGTATTAAGCCAGAGAAATACTAGCAGTCTGGAGGGATTCCCTACAAGATACACAATCACTTTGAACTTTATAAAAATAGACTCTTACTGCCCTTTCCATGTGACAATCTATGCTTTTTTTATGATGTTTTTGCAGCTGCCCTACCTAAAAGGATCATTATAAAGATCCAGCACTAAAAAAATGTTTTTAGGCATTGATGGTTTAAAAATGGAGTCTTTGGAACTCTATAAAATGTTTTAATCTCCTTGGAATAAAAAAAAAATGCAAGTCCAGAAACAGAGCCCATGCAAAGAACTTCCAGGGCTCACGTGAACTTTGAGAGGTCAGCCCTGTGCTGGAGCTGTGCTTCGTAGCCTGGGTGCACTCTCCCACCCTACCTGTTACTGTGGCAGAAGTGATGAGAATCCAGCCCACTTCACCTCACGAATTCCAATTTGCTTCCCTTCCTTAAAGGCCTCTTGCATTCAGAGACAGCACCCACATAGTTTAGTACTGATTGCAGGCAAGGGGTGAATGTTACTTTTATTTTTCCAAATTGGTTATGACTTCCCTAAGGGCAAATAATCCATTGACTACATTTCAGTAGAGGCACACACGTAAGAATCTTTTGGACATTTTGGTTTTTGGGTTTTGTTTGTTTTTTTAGAATGTAAGAGAAGATTTCCTAAGTAACATATTATTTGTATTTCCTTTTAGGAAATGCTTTTCTTATCCAACTGAAATCTTTCCCGGTGTAATTTTCATGCAGAGAACTATACCCTTCAAGTACTAGAAGATACATTTCTTTTTTTTTCTTTTGTTTGAGAAGGAGTCTCGCGCTGTCACCCAGGCTGGAGTGCAATGGCGTGATCTCAGCTCACTGCAACCTCTGCCTCCTGGGTTCAAGCGATTCTCCTGCCTCAGCCTCCTGAGTGGCTGGGATTACAGGTGCATGCCACCACGCCCGGCTAATTTTTGTTTTTTAATAGAGATGGGGTTTCACCATGTTGGTCAGGCTGGTCTCAAACTCCTAGCCTCATGATCTGCCTGCCTCGGCCTCCCAAAGTGCCGGGATTACAGGCATGAGCCACACGTGGCCTACATTTCTATTATATTGTGTTTAACCCTATCTTTTGAAAGAATAAAGAATAATTTTGGCTGGGTGTGGTGGCTCATGCCTGTAATCCCAGCACTTTGGGAGGCTGAGGTGGGCAGATCACCTGAGGTCAGGAGTTCAAGACCAGCCTGGCCAACATGGTGAAACCCTGTCTGTACTAAAAATACAAAAAGTTAACCGGACATGGGGGCACACACCTGTAATCTCAGCTACTCGGGAGGCTGAGGCAGGAGAATCACTTGAACCCATGAGGCAGAGGCTGCAATAAGCTGAGAGTGAGACTCCTTCTCAAAAAATAATAATAATAATAATTTTGATTGAATTCTTTAAACACATTTCTACCTTAATAGAACTTCTATTTTGGCTGAAATTCTCAAAGAGCCTTTCATTCTTATGTAGTTGACTTTACCAATTAGGTTTTTCCTTGCTAAGTTTTCTTTTCATTTTAGTTTGTGTTGCTCTCATTTTTTTCTTTCTGTTCTTTCTTTTGCCAGTAGAGACATAGTTGTCTAAAACTTTTGAAATCAGATTTCGTTTAAGTTTTAGAACTACTTCTGTGACAATGTCTGAGCACAGAGCCACTGATCGTGCCTTTCTATTCATTTTTCTCTCTCTATACCCAAATAGCACCATTCTAACTGGATTTCAGTAATAACTGCTTTAGGGTGATAGAAAGCCCAAGATCAAGAATGGAGACTTCATGTATAGGCTGTAGAAAAGTCAGTGGGCCAACAGAAAGAGCACCTTCTGTAGCAAATGAGGAAGAAGATAAAGGAAGGAGGACACGGGAATTCGTGACGTATCACTACCATGATGGAAAATGATCCTCATGTTTGACAATCATACATTTGCTTGTAGAGGATCAAGAGCAGGATATGTTCCCTTCTGCTCCTTTTCTCTAAGCTGGTCAGCCTTAGGTGTGAGATGTAGATTTTGACCCTCGGTTTTAAAACACCCTTATGTATGCAAGTAAAATGTAATTATTTATGAGAATGCAATTCGTCATTTTTTTTCTTGGACTTGGGAGTTTGTTGCCTTTTACCTTTAGTTGAAATAGCTTCTATTTAAAAGTATCACATCAGGAAACTCATCTCTCTTCTGGTAAATGTCTGTACTTTCAAGTGGTAAATAATCTCCATTGCGTTCTAACGATACATCTGAGCTGCGATATTGGTTTTCCAGCAGATGTCCTAAGAGTTTAGAATGCCCTTAACTTCTCAGTTCCAATGTCCTGGCAGATCAAGTGGACTATTTAAAGATGGATCAAGAATAGGAGTGATATACACGCCTTCTTGCCTGGTTTTTCAAACAGAGAGAAGGCAAAGTAGATTCATCCTATTAAATACTACATGTGCCTCAAGAGCATGTCAGTGAAATATTGATCAAAATATTGTCCTCTTTTACCCAGGAATTATAGGATGAAGTTTATTTTTATTCGTTTAATTAAACTGCATGTTGTTTTAATAATCTTTTTTGTCAGTCCCTTGCCCATTTGAAAGTTGCTTTTCTTAACATGAACTGTTAACTAGAAGCTTTTACTTCCCTGTTAGTTCCACCTTAGAGGTTGCCTTTATTCTACTGAAAGTGCTTATTTGTATAGTATATTATTTTATTTTTTAAAAATAAGGTATAATTTACACGGAGTAAAATTAACCCTTTTTAATGCACAATTCTATGATTTTTTTTTTTTTTTTTTGAGACAGAGTTTCACTCTGGTTGCCCAGGCTGGAGTGCAGTGGTGGATCTCAGCTCACTGCAACCTCTGCCTCCTGGGTTTAAGCGATTCTCCTGCCTCAGCCTCCCCAGTAGCTGGGATTACAGGTGTCCACCACCATACCCGGCTAATTTTTTAAAAAATTATCTTTAGTAGGTCACTCAGGACTTGCTTAGAAACGGGGTTTTGCCATTTTGGCTAGGCTTGTCTCAAACTCTTGGCCTCAAGTGATCCACCTGCCTTGGCCTCCCAAAGTGCTGGGATTACAGGCATGAGCCACCGTCCCCAGCCATAGTACTATGACTCTTGACAAACACATAAACCAGTGCCATCACCAGGAAGTGGGCTTGCTTCCTACTACACCCAGATAAGAACAGTATGACACTGGCTCCAAAAATTCCCCAGTCTCCTCTGTAGTTAACCCCTGTCCCCCTCAGGGGACTCAGTTCCTGGCAACAGCTGGTCTGTTTTCTGACCTATAGTTTTGCATTTCTCAGAATGCTGTATGAATGGAATTGTACAGTATTATGACCCTCTGATTCCAATTTCTTCTACTCAATATAATGCATCTGAGATTCATCCATGTCGTTGGATCAGTAATTTATTGCTTTTATTGCTGAGTGGTATTCCATTGCATGGGTGTTTCACAGTTTATTCATTCACCTGTTGAAGGACATTTGGGCCGTTTCCTAATTTTGGTGATTATGAATAATGCCTCTGTACACACTCATTTTAGGTTTTAGTGTAAAGGTAGTTTCCATTTTACTTGGCAAATACCTTAAAAAATGGGGATCAGTTTCATTTCCTTATTCAGCGTTGCTGCATGGACTTATTTGCCTCTCCTCCTCACTTTGGTTACATGTGGGAAAAGTCAAGCAAAAACTTGGCCCAGGGGCCTCTGGTTCCATAACACCATTGGCCGGGCCTCTCTGCCTCAGGGCCTCTCCGGCATAGGTTTCCCATGGTTGGGGAGTCCTGGAAGTCCAGCTTTGGGGTCTGGGAACCAGGGAACCAGGGATCAGAAAGTCACTGGACTCCAGGGACTATATCATAGTTTAAAGAAGGGCTTGAGTAAAATGTGACCAGAATAGCATTGACAGTAATCAAGCAAGACGATGGTAGAAGACGGAGGAGTTGGCCTGGTGACCAATGCCTGCCAGCCCTTTCTGCGCAGAAGAAATGCCAGGACCCACAGACATGGCTTTCCCTGGAACCACTCCTCTGTTGGTGGTCTCACTGGTGCCTGCCACTAGCAGAGAGCAGCATGGTTACAGGTGAGGCCCCGCACCCAGGCCAGCTGTGGGACCTAGTTTCCAGCTCAAGCCGTGAAAACTTGGCTGCACCTCCTGACCCATCTCAGCCTCATTATCCTTTCCTGTAAAGTGAGGAAAATAGAAGTACATACATCAAAAAGTTTATGAGGGTGAAGTAAAATCATACAGGACAACCTTTAGCAAAGTGCCGACCACAGAGTGAGCCTTCCTCTTTGCCATTTGCAGTATTTTAAGGTATTTAACATCGATAGACCATACAATTATGGCATTGTTAAGAGCTGGAAGCTCTTCTAGTCTGTTGTTCCCCAACCACAGGGTTTTCCTATATGAGTTTACTTCATCCCCACAAACCTTCTGATGCATGTCCTTCTGTTTTCCTCACTTTATAGAAGAAGACACTGAGGCCGAGAGGGGTTAGAAGGTGTGCCCACGTTTGCATGGCTTGAGCTAGAAGCCCTGTCTTCCAGGTGGCCTGGCTGCAACCCTCCTAATCCAGAATCTTCCCCACAACAGCATGGCAGTCACTGATGCTCTCCTGGAAACCTTCTGGGGAAGGGGCTAAGTCTTCCCTTGCTCTACCTTAAAGACAGCTCTACCTTAAACATGGCTGTTATATATTGCAACTATATATCATTACCATAGAGCAAAATCACCATGATTACATCTGTTAGATTAACTCTTGAGTGGGCTTGCTTCCTGTTTGTGCATTCAGAATAATTGGTGCGCTAAGAATCAATTGTATTTCAGCAGTGTGGTCACCAGTTTACAACTGAGAAATCATTCTCTGCACATCATCTGTGGCCTCATCTTCTCCCCTGACCCAAATTGGTATTTATAGATTTCATTAATTAGCCTAGAATCCCAGAAGCTCATATGCTTTGCTTGAGTTACATGAAGAGCAGGTAAATGAAACATGAAAACTGATGTACTTGTTTCTTTAAAACTCATGCCCCAGGGTGTTGAGAAACTCAGATTCTAAACAGAAATAGTGAACGCTGGTTGAATTGAGGATGGATGTGTGGTCCATGGTATTTCAAAATCATAGATATATAGATCTTTTAAATGACAATAATGTTAACTGTGTCAATGCTTGGAAATAATGGAATTATGCTTGGAATTAAGTTAAAATTCAGTATAAAATAATAGCATATGCAGTCACTACAATTTGTAAAATATTAAGGATCAGAAGACAAAACACAATAATGTAATTAACTTGTTTCGAATTTTGTAAAATGATTTTATTGCAAAGTTAGCTAAAAATAAAACTCTAGTGTTTAAACAAAACAAAACCAAAAAACCCCACTACTGATAAACAACCTCAGCAAAGTCTCAGGATATAAATTCATTGTACAAAAATCACTAGCATTCCTATACACCAACAACAGTCAAGTCAAGAGTCAAATCGGGAAAACAATGTCATTCACAAATGCCACAAAAAGAATTAAGTACTTAGGTAACTAGGGAGGTGAAAGGCCTCTACAGTGAGAAATACAAAACGCTGCTCAAAAAAATCAGAGATGACACAAACAAATGGAAAAACATTCCATGTTCATGGATAGGAAGAATCAGTAAAATGGCCATAGTGCCCAAAGCAATTTATAGATTCTATGCTATTCCTGTCAAACGACAAGTGACATTCTTCATAGTACTAGAAAAAACTTTTAAAATTCATATGAAACAAAAAGAAATGAGCCCCAATAGCCAAGGCAATCCTAAGCAAAAAGAGCGAAGCTGGATGCATCAGTGTTACCTGACTTCAAACTATGCTGCAGGGCTACAGTAACCCAAACAGCATGGTACTGGTACAAAAACAGGCACAAAGACCAAGGGAACAGAATAGAGAACCCAGAAATAAGACCACATACCTACAACCATCTGATCTTCCACAAAGCTGGCAAAAGAAATGGAGAAAGGACTCACTATTCTATAAATGGTGCTGGGATAACTGGTTAGTCATATGCAGAAGATTGAAACTGTACCATTCCTTACATCATATACAAAAATCAACTCAAGATGGATTAAAGATTTAAATGTAAAACCCAAAGCTATAAAAACCCTGAAAGATAACCCAGGCAATACCATTCTGGACATAGGAATGGGTAAAGATTTCATGATGAAGATGGCAAAAGCAATTGCAACAAAAGCAAAAATTGACAAATGGGATCTAACTAAACTAAAGACCTCTGCACAGCAAAAGAACCTATCTACAGAGTAAATAGACAACCTACAGAACAGGAAAAAATGTTTGCAAACTATATAGGTCCAAAGGTCTAATATCTAGCATCTATAAGGAACTTAGACAAATTTACAGGAAAAAAAGAACAACCCCATTAAAAAGTGGGTAGGCTGGGCGCAGTGGCTCATGCTTGTAATTCCAGCACTTTGGGAGGCAGGCAGATTGCTTGAGCCCAGGAGTTTGAGACCAGCCTGGGAAACATGGCAAAACCCTGTCTCTATAGAAAAAAAAAAAAAGTCCAAAAATTAGCTGGGCATGGTGGTGCATGCCCATAGTCCCAGCCACTTGGGAGGCTGAGGTGGGAGGATCGCTTGAGCCTGAGAGGTTGAGGTGTGGTGAGCTGTGATTGCAACATTGTACTCCAGCCTGGGCAACAAAGTGAGACCTTGTCTCAAAAAAAAAAAAAAAATAAGCAAAGAACATAAACAGACACTTTTCAAAAGAAGACATACACAGTGGCCAACAAGCTTACAAAATAAAGCTCAACATCACAGATCATTAGAGAAATGAAAAATCAAAATGACAGTGAAATACCATCTGACACCAGTCAGAATGGCTATTATTAAAAAGTCAAAAAATAACAGATGTTGGCGAGGTGGTGGAGAAAAAGGAATGCTTATACACTGTTGGTGGGAGTGTAATTAGTTCAACCATTGTGGAAAAACAGTGTGATGATTTCCCAAAGACCTAAAAACAGAACCACCATTTGGCCAACCAATCCCATTACTGGATGGATACATACCCAAAGGAATATAAATCATTCTGTTATAAAGACATATGCATGCATATGTTCATTGCAGCACAATTCACAATAGCAAAGGCATGGAATCAACCCAAATGCCCATCAATGATAGACTGGATAAAGAAAATGTGGTACATATACACCATGGGATACTATGCAGCCATAAAGAGAACGAGATCATGTCCTTTGCAAGACCATGGATGGAGCTGGAGGCCATTATCGTTGGCAAACTAACATAGGAACAGAAAACTAAATACCACATGTTCTCAGTTAGCAGGAGCTAAATGATAAGAACATACAGACACAAAGAAGGGAATAACACACACTGGGGCCTATTGGAGGGTGGAGGATGGGAGTAGGGAGAGGATCAGGAAAAATAACTAATGGGTACTAGGCTTAATACCTGGGTGATATAATCTGTACAACAAACCACCATGACACAAGTTTACCTATGTAACAAACCTGCACATGTATCCCCGAACTTAAACACACACACACATACACACACACACACACACACACACACACACACACACACACTCCAGCTACTCCTACTAAGCAGTCCACTCTGCCTGGAAGTTGCTGGAAGGACTCCATGCGAAAGTGGTTTCTCTCCTCCCAGAACATGATTTTACTGGTTTCTTTCAAAGCCTATTCATCATCCTCCCTTCAGGACACTCTTAAAATTTGCCTTCTGTGGAGCTCTTTACCATAAGAACAAGCAACAATGACATGTTCCAGCCCATTAGTGTTAATATTTGTTGATCCGAAGATGGAAAATACATTTTACTAGACCCTTGTTTCCTTCTTGCTGCTGAGTATATTTTCAATCTATAAAGCTTAGATAAATTTCGTATATGCTCACCTTTTTTTGTGGGAGACTTGCAAGAGAAACCTACCCTAAAAGCTAACCTAGCCACCTTCTATTTGCAGAAATAAAGCAAAAATCATTTTAGTGTTGATTTTGATGTACCAGAACCTAAATTGCTTAAATTAAAAACTTTTTAGAGCAGTGTGTAGAATTCTATTTGTGTCCGTGAGTATGGCTAATAACTCCATTTTAAGAACCAGAAAAGGAAATAAAATAAGTTAACCATCTCCCTTGAGCTGCAAAAGTTGCTAATCAAAAACTTCATGTAAACAATGTACCGATATCAGACTCTGGTTATGATCTGTATACATTTAGTGTGCAATTCAAGTATAAAGGCTTTCATTTTTTGGCAGCCCAGATGCAAACAATAAAATAATCCTGCTTATTTCCTCTCAGCAGCAGGTTTTGTCATCCATATGTAACTGACCGAACAGTGTTTAGCCACAAACAGAAAACACTTTCTGCAGGTGGTTAGTTGTCTTTAATATGTCTCATCAAGCCTATCTGTGTGCTTCTGTGTGGGCTGCTGTGCTCTTCAAGGCCTAGGTCAAGTGCCTTGGCCAGTTAGTGGTTAGATAATTAATAGAGACTCACTAAGTATGTATTATTTACCGACTACCACTTTCCTGATTGCTTTGAAACTAATGAAATGAACAAAAAATGTAATTATGGTCCTTGAGGGAATTTATGATCTAGTTAGAAGGGTTAGGAAATACTTTGGGCCCAGACACAGTGGCTCACACCTGTAATCCCAGCTCTTTGGGAGGCTGAGGCAGGAGGATTGCTTCAGCCTAGGCGTTCAAGAGCAGTGTTGGCAACAAAGTGAGACCTCATCTCTACAAAAACTAAAAGAAAGAAAAAAAATAGCCGGGGGTGGTGGTATGGGCCTGTAGTCCTAGCTAGCTCCTTGGGAGGCTGAGGCAGGAAGACTGATTAAGCTCATGAGGTCGAGGCTGCAGTGAGCTATGATCACAGCACAACAATGAGACCCTGTCTCAAAAAAAAGAAAAGAAAAAGAGAGAGAGAGAAAGAAGAAAGGAAGGAAAGAAGGAAGGAAGGAGAGGGGAGGAGAGGAGAGGAGGGATAGGGGAGAGAGGGGAGGGCAGGAGAGAAGAGAGGAGAAGAGAGGAGAAGAGAAGAGAAGAGAAGAGCAAAACTTTGGAATTGTTTCATAGGAGTGGTACCTTTTCCCACACTGACTGTAAAAAGTTCAGAGAAACAAAGGGATTTTCACAGCAGTGCTTGCAATTCCAACATCTGCCTTGTGACTTTCAATTTTGAGTTAATATTTGAAACTGTCTTCATTGCCTGCATAAAGTGATCAAGTGACCATCAGTACAAAGACTTTTTCACATACCTGTTTTAATTGCTCTGGAGAATGCCTGATTCTCTGAGTTATTGCCTAGAGGTTTTCAGAGTAAATTACAAGAGTACTACATAGACTTTATATTAAGTCGGGTCACCCCAAATATTTTATGAAAACCTGCCCAGCCATTTCTACATGACATGGTAACAAGCATAGAGATGAAAATTTTATTTATCTAGATTAGGCAAAATTCTCCTATACGCTATGTTTAATGCCATGGGTTGTCTATATTTTATCTTTATATTGTGCAAATGTGTGTATGTGTATTATACACACATGTATGTAGAAGTACATATGTGTGCACATATATGTGTATAATTGTATGTACACAAGTACATACATACAAATACTACATGTACTATCAGGCTTTCTCAGGGGAGACTTAGTGTTTTTTTTATCTTTACTGGAAAAAACTGTTGTTGGTAATAGCAAAGACATTTTGTGTTAGCCATTAACGAGATAGCAGAGAAATCCTTTGCTATCTAATATGTCACGGTGAAGGCCACTGGTATGAGCTTATGTTGAAATTCAGGATTTTTCTGATGTCATGAGTGTACTCAGGTGACCACATTTTGAATCTTTTTACTTTTAAAAACAATTCCCCACCCCAGTTCTTTAGCTGAGATTGTCATTTGAAGACGTGTGCCCTGTTCATCCAGTTGCACATGACCAGAAGGCCCTGGAGAATGGTTTAAGCCATTTTGAAGAGCACAGACATGGGGGAGAAGGAGGTAATCGTCATCAATACATCATCCCTACCTCTTTCAAACTTCTGTATATTTTTCGTACTTGGTTGGTTTGTTTTTGAGATGGGGAGAAGACAGAGGGAGGACAGAGGCTCTCAAGGAGTTTGTGAGTTTAGAGCTGGCCTGATGGCCATGAGCAGCATGTTTTCCATCTTGAAGAAAGAAGAGGTGGGAATTCAGAATGGTGCAGCTGCCTTGGTAAAACCTTACGGTGGCTTTATTTCTACTTACCAAATACTAGAAACAACCTATATGTCCCTTGACTGAGAAGTGGATAACTGTGCAGTATACCTATGCAGTGGAATATTACTTAGCAACAAAAAGGAGCAATACACAGAATACAGTGCTTTGCTGTGCAAATGCATTGTGCTACATGAAAGAACCCAGACTCAAAAATGACACCCTTTCGTATGATTTTGTATAAATGCATGATTCCACTTATTTGACATTCTGAAAAAGACAAAAACTGTGGGGACCAAAATTAGATCTGTGGTTTCCAGGGTCTTTGGGTGGAGGAAAAGGGTGACTACAAAGGAGCACAAAGGGTTTGGGAGAGTGACAGAAATACTCGGTGTCTTGATTATGGTGGTTACACAAGGGTGCGCAGTTATCAAAACTCACAACTGTACATTAAAAAGGATGAATAATTATTGTATGCAAACTATATCTAAAAATAAATAAGAAACAGATATATATATTCCAGTAATTGCTTCTTGGTATTTGAATCAGGCCAAGGATAACATCTATCAGAAAGGTCTTTTATTGATATTGAAATTCTGCCCCAACGCATTCCCTCTCCTACACACACACACACACACACACACACACACACACACACCTTCTCTCTCTCTCTGCCTGCCCCCACCATCTCATATTTTCTTGTAATCATTTTTATGGGATTTATAGGATGTCCAGCTCATGCACAAGTGTCAGCCTCTTGTTTGTAATCTCGGTAGCTCAGCCTCCCGAGAGTGATCCAGCCATCCATGACTGAGTTTTGATTCAAGAAACAGGACTGTGATCAAGATATTAATTCTATGCATTATAAACCAGGGAACAGTTGGAAAAAAACTAAAGCTTAGTCTCCTTTAAGACTGGAAAAGTTGTACTTTATATATGCATATGTGAATAGTAGCAGGGAATTTTCTTGCATTCAATTTTCTCATTCCTGAGAGGTTAGATGGTTCAAATGTGCTGGGGCAGGGAGGGATTTTCACTCGGCTGTCAGAGCTTCATATCCCTCACTATTTTTGAGTTTTAAGAAGATATTTAAAATGCTTATGTTTCTATACATTACATTAACTTTTAAATATGAATATTATAGTAAATAATAAATCATAATTCACAAGTGCAAAGACCTTCTGTGCCCATGTTTAGCATATTTGGTCGATTTCTTTTCCATGGCACTCAATGACAGCTGAAGAAATTTCTTTAGGATGACAGATTGTCAGCACATTGACATAGATTGTTTTAGATGTATATTTTTAGTGGGAATGAATGAAATTTAAGTGAGCTTTTCTCAGAAATATAGTAATAAGGAGAAGAGTTGCTATTTCATGTGTCAAGCTTACAGGACTTTTTTCCCCCTCTTTGGGTTATAGTCAACCTAATTAGCAATTATTAACAAGTATCTTACAAAATAAAAAGAAAATTTGGAATTTGCTGAAAGCATCCTAACATCTACTAGAATAGCGCTATTGATAAGTAGTAAAGAAATTTATCTCAAATCTCCCTTGCCCAAGATAGAGAAAAATTAATTAAGAATACTCTAGAATTTTTTTCTGGTCCTTTATTGAACTTCATTACTTAATTAGTCCTTAGAGAGAAGAACCATCAAAACTTGGTAGGTGGTGACAGCATTTTTTTACATTTATCTGTGAGATGGAACTAGAATATGGAGTTCACAGGACAGCATTTCACTAACATATCTTTTTTTTTTTTTTAAAAGACAGGGTCTTGCTCTGTCACCCAGGCTGGAGTGCAGTAGCACGATCTTGGCTCACTGCAACCTCCACCTCCCAGGTTCAAGCAATTCTCCTGCCTCTGCCTCCCTAGTAGCTGGGATTACAAGCACCTGCCACCATACCCAGCTAATTTTTGTATTTATAGTAGAGACAGGGTTTCTTCATGTTGGCCAGGCTGGTCTCAAACTCTGACCTCAGGTGATCTGCCTACTTTGGCCTCCGAAAGTGCTGGGATTACAGGCACGAGCCACCGCGCCCGGCCCATAACTAGTTTTAAAACTATGATTACTTCATAGAATCCTGGTTTCTTCAGAAAACTACTTTATCAGGATGAAGGGCTAATTGTGTGGTTATGACCTAGTTACTGCTGGAAGTGCTGGAAATCATTCAATAAGAAGGCAGGTGTGTGTTGTTTATTACCTCCAAACATTTGGGACCCTCTCTTCACTGCATAGGGGCCGTGAGTACTGGAGTTCCGAAAGGAGAGTGGGACACACATGAAACCCATTTTAATGAAGGAATGTCCAAGCTGGTTCCCCAGATGCTGAAATTAGATGGGGACCTACTGGGGAAGAGCCATTTCCAAACAGGAGAGAACAGGCCTAGCTTCCTAAAGGACTGTCTCAGATCTTCAGCACTAGCCCAGAGGGAAGTATTTCTCCACACTCACTTGAAATGGCCACTGTGCTACACAGAGCCCTTATCTGGATTCCTTTTAAACTGCAAAGATTTTAAAGGAGAGATCTTTATGCTTTTTTAAATTCCAGGTGTATTACTCATTAAATATGGACATTGTAGCCAAGAACAGTGTAGTTCCCATGGTAGTGGACCGTATTATATTTTATTTAGTTCTTCTATATTACTTGGTTTTTTTTAAATCTGTGTTTGGCTATTTAAAAGTTTATACTTTGATCAAATGAATAATATCTAGTATTTGATAGCACAACCAGGTGACTATAGTCAACAGTAATTTATTGTACATTTAAAAATAACTAAAACAGCCAGGCGCCATGGCTCATGCCTATAATCCCAACACTTTGGGAGGCTGAGGCGGGCAGATCACCTGAGGTCAGGAGTTTGAGACCAGCCTGGCCAACATGGTGAAACCCCATCTCTACTAAAAATACAAAAATTAGCTGGGCATGGTGGCACACACCTGTAATCCCAGCTGCTCGGGAGGCTGAGGCAGGAGAATCGCTTGAACCCAGGAGACAGAGGTTGCAGTGAGCCAAGATCGCACCATTGCACTCCAGCCCGGGTGACAAGAGCAAAACTCCATCTCAAAAAATAAATAAATAGCTAAAACAGTAGAATTGGATTGTGTATAACACAAAGAAAGGATAAATTCTTGAGGTGATGGATACGCTATTTACCCTGAGGTAAAATACCTATTTCAAAATATCTCATGTACCCCATAAATATATACACCTAATATGTATCCACGAAAACTAAAAATTTAAAATTTTATTAAAAAATAAAATAATAATTTACATTTTGGTAATTGGTTATAGTACGTTCTTAAGAGAAACAAATAAAACTTTACATTAACTATTTGGACTTGAAGGAAACGATTTCATCTGCAACTATATAGACTGTTAAGGCCCGTGTTCCCACTTTTTTAGGAATTTGATGGAGAGGTTGTCTTACTACCATAGGTTTTATTTGGTTTAGGTTTCCTTTTCTATAGTATTTTTACATTTTAAAGGGCCCAAATTGTTCATTTAATGGGATGACTGTTAATGGGTGGAGTCTCCCAGGGCCGATTAGCTGTTTGAATGCAAGTTTATTACTCATAATGGCACTTTTTTTAAGTGTTAAAGTTTTGGTAAACATTTCATCTGAATTCATAAAATTAAAAGTGTTGATATTTCATTATAACTGAAGGGAGAAATTGTATAGAATTAGCAGTTGATTCCGTTTGGACTGTGAATAATTATCTATGGGAAGGGTACCCTGATTAAATCTGACTATTTAAGAGATAAGTGAATCTTAAATTCTTAATTTACAAAAGTTTGATCTATATCCAATGGGAATGAATCTCTTTTTGTATTCCATGATTAATTTTTTTTCAAGAATTCCTTAACTCCCATGTTATTTTCCCTGTTTAATTTTGCAGAGGCTATGACTTCCTCAATGCAAGGTTCCTTCACCCTTGAGAATCTCCTGGTTACTAATGGCCACCATGTGTCACATAATGAGCTTCCAGACTGAAATCAGACCAAGTTTGTTTCATTTGCACTATAAGAAATGGTAGTTATTCTTCTGTGAAGACATATATAGAATGAGCAGTGATGCATATAACTGAAAATCCCTCAGGGAAGCATTTGTTATTTGTGAAAAGTGTCATCTCGTTCTCTAAGAACTTCCTCAGCTTTTTCTGTTTGTTTAGGGGAGGGCACAGGAACATGATGGCATGGTGTTACATTTGGTGATTTGGTGCACACAACTGTCTGTGGTCATGCACTTTGATGTAACTCTTGTCCAACTGGCCTACCCAAAGTACAGATATATCTTCTTATAGATGGCTTTTAAAAAAAAGTAAAAAGCCCATCCTCAATAGATAAAAACTATTGCAAACAATTTTAAATCCTTAATAAGAAAATAATTTCAAATTGCTGTGCATTGACAGTATTTGAAGGAGGTGGGGATGTTATAAGGGATGGTTTTTAGAAAGAAAGAGCTGAGAGACATGAATTTTGCAGTGCAGAGAACATGAGCTTTAGATTCAAGCTCCAGTTGAATGATCTTTCTGTACTTCAGAGTCATAATTATAAAATAAGATTTAGTTGACCTCTGCAGGTAGTAGTGGCAGTTAAATGATGCAGGGGAGGCAAAGCTTTACCTCTATCCTCTTAGGGTCCTGGCTGGGCCTGAGAATTAAATGGACATGACAAATTAAGCCAGGCACAGTAATCCCAGCTACTAGGGAGGCTGAGGCAGGAGGATTGCTTGAGGCCAGGAGTTTGAGACCAGCCTGGGCAACATAGTGAGACCCCCATCTCTAAGAAAAAAAAAATTGACAGAACAAATTAACAGGAGAAAAGCACACCAATTTATTTAATATAAGTTTTATGTGGCACGGGAGCCCTCAAAGGAAAATAAAGATTAAAAAAAAAACACAGTCAGTTATTTTTATATATTGAATTGGACAAACAAAGATAAGTTGTAAAATGCGATAAGGCCAGCAGGCTTGGCCTAGGGTAGGTAATTATTGGAGAAGGAACTAGGATGATAAGGGTTAGTTAACAACCTTTGTGCAGATTTCCCTTGGATTCAACCTTCTATCCTTGATGATAAGAATGCTACTTTCCTTTTGGGGTAGGAAGGACATCTTTCACATGGGAGTTTCACCTCCTGCCTTTAAGAAACAGAACGAAGGTCACAGTGATCTTCTTGTGCCTGCTGTTTTTTAGGTTCCCTTAAATCAAAACAGCCAATATGCCAGAACATCATATTTTTAACTCCTTTGGTGGCATGAATATGGAGCTCCTACCTGAGTCTAAACACATGCAGCCGCTTCCCAGACACGGAGTCATTGCCATAGATGATTATGTGGGATCTGACAGAAGTTTGTTACTTGAAAATAATTTCACACAAGTCTTCCACGTTGGAGGGCAGCTGTGGGCTGCAGAAGAGCCTGGAGAGAGTAGTCCCTGTGGCCTTGCCTCCGTCCCTGAGTGTATTTAGATGAACAAGGACCTTTCCCCTGAACATTTGTCTGCATGGATTTTTAAGGACTCCCTTCTCTGGAAGCTGCCCTCAAAGCATTTCAAGTGCTCTTGCTGATGGCAGATGAAGCTGCCGTAAAGCAGGGGGATGTGATTGAGCAAAAAATCTTTTCTCTTTCAACCCAGGAGAGCAAAATAGTAACTCTACTTCATGAAAACAAAATTGGCTGTTTCCAATAGAGCACTCAGATCTTCAGGAAAATGTAGCATATTTCCTAAAGGAGGTTAAAGGTGAATGAAACCTTTGCTGGTGGTTCCATATATTCTACCATAATCGTAATAACAACAGCAGCTCACATTTATTGGGCCTTTTAATGTACCGTCCATTGCTTTAAGTGTTTTACACATACTGTATTCACTTATTTAATGTCCACCAACTCCTAAGTCCCTGTTAGATGATCTTCATTTTACATGAGGAAGCCAAGGCACCCAGAGGTGCGATGTAACTTGTCCACACTCAAACAGCAGCAAAGCTGGCATTTAAACCAGACATGCTGATTTTAGAACACTAACTGCATATGCTGCATCTATAATGAGTAAAAATCTATAACAGGTAAAAATGTACAATGGAGAATGGTGGGAACCAGTACCAGGAACCTGTGCAGACCTGGTCAGAGCAGGAAAGGAAATAAACACAGTTACATGATTATAAAACAACAAATTGGATAATAAGATCAGTCCTGAAAAGTCAACCAAAAGATGCTCACGCCAGACATTATTGCACAGTATCTTGAATCAGGCCCAGATATCTAAAATAAGCCTCTTTCCAGTGATTTTTCAAGAATCTTGCTTATTATATAGGGTGCAGCAACTCATTTTGACTTTAAAGGAGTAGTGTGGCAGGCTCCTGGACACCTGGAGGCACTATATGAATTTCTGCCTAAAAATTCATCCATAGGAAGGAGATTTGCTGAACTGAGAAAGTGAACATTTCACAAGAAGTACATATGTCTCCATGCTAAGAAGTAACTCCCTGGGCGATCGCCGTCATGCTGAGTGTTTCCATCTCCAAGCCCTGCTGCAGCCTGCCTCCTTGTCTCCACCCATGCCTGGAAAACCTAACCCTCATAAAAGTCTCAGTAAGCAACAGTGAGAATAACTGTAAGGTGTTACAGGAGAGATGGTTTTGGCAGCCAAAAAGGGCTTATGATCCTAAGATCCACCTTAAAAGTGTTCTGTTGCCCAGTTCTGTATTAATTCTGAGCAGAGGCAGCAGAAAGCATCTTTCAGGGTCGAGAATTTCTGAGATCTTGACCGTCAGGAAAAGGATGCTTCCAGGCAGCCGTGGAAACTGAAATCCGAGCCCTAATCTTGCTCAGAGCTGCTGAGGTCTGTTTGTAGGAAAACATCGGGTTATTGTCTGAATAACATACATCCAAGTTACAACGGGAAAAGAAATCTGCCTTATGGAAAGAGAATGAACATTTGCTGGGTAGAGTTTATGCCTGCCTAGATGCTCCACCTCCAGGCTCTAGGTACTCTACTTCGGAGTGCAGTCTGCGCTCCCTCTTCTGGGATGGCTGCGGAGCCCAGGGCATCTCTCTCTAAGGCTTTCAACAAGTCTTATGGGCTGTCTAGACTCGCTGTCTTGGAATGAGTTAGTGCTCTGACCTGAGGAAAATTCCCCATGTTTCTCAGTGTCAAGCCAAAATCTCTAGGGCTTCAGTATTGCCCCACGGTTCTGGCCCGCTGGCCAAACACATAACTCTTTTTGCAGCTCATACAGGTAAATGTGAGCCAGTGCTGCTCTTACAACCTGCCTCCCACATCCCTGTCTGTGGGTGGCTCTCTCCTGAAGATGGTACTTCTCCAGAAGTTTCCAAATGATCAGAGAGGAACTGCTTCTGGGTACTCCTCCTTCTCCTTCTTCTTCTTGCCAGAGGCCTTGAATTTGCTATTGAGAGATTTGGCAATATACTTTGAAACGTGAAGATAATGAAGTTGTTGGGTGTGAACAAATGTTACTTGACTATTTAAATATTAAAAATATGATATACATGGTGTATTAGTCCATTCTCACACTGCTAATAAAGAACTGCCTGAGACTGGGTAACTTACAAAGGAAAGAGGTTTAATTGACTCATAGTTCTGCATGGCTGGGGAGGCCTCAGGAAACTTACAGTCATGGTGGAAGGGGAAGCATACATGTCCTTCTTCACATGGCAGCATCAAGGAGAAGTGCAGAGCAAAGTGGGGGCAGAAAGCCACTTATAAAACCATCAGATCTCGGGAGAACTCCCTCATTATCACGAGAATAACATGTAGGTATCTGCCCCCATGATTCAATTACCTCCCACCGGGTCCCTCCCATGACACGTGAGGATTATGGGAACTACAATTCAAGATGAGATTTGGGTGAGGACACAGCCAAACCATATCACATGGTAACCTACGTTAGAGATTCGTTGTATGAATAGCAGAACTTTAAAAAGTTTTGCCTTGCAGAAAACAGT
Source organism: Homo sapiens (assembly GCF_000001405.40). Classification (NCBI taxonomy): domain Eukaryota; kingdom Metazoa; phylum Chordata; class Mammalia; order Primates; family Hominidae; genus Homo; species Homo sapiens. Next base: position 30,491 of record NT_187593.1, on the reverse strand, counting down.
TCCTATTATTGTTACAAATAAGTATACATCATCTTAGAACTTGTCTTTACAAATATGAACAATGAGTAATGGCAGGGAAACAAGTGGTTAAGATTCAGTGATTGAGGCTCAGTTTCTATACTGGCAACTCCATGGAGAGCTTGAAGACCAGCAGCTACATTCCCTGTCTTGATCATCCGGGGGTAGGAAAAGCATTGAAAGATGGGATGACTAATGCCTGCTAAATGCTGGCCAACTTTAAAAAAAATTGACTTTAGTATTATGAGATACGAATGGCATATTTTAATTAGGAAATACAGTAATCCTAAGTGAGCTTCATTTCTTACACAAAATATAGGAAGATGATACATGTTCACTGTGCTTGAGAACTTTTTCTCAAATTCAATGCAGAAAGGCAGTCTGTGAGGCAGTAGGAAATGCAGCTGCTGGAATTCTGTTATCAGTATGTGTATCAGTTCTGATTGAGTTGTAAAATAGAAGCCTGATGTGCTGGATATTAATTTAGCAATAGATAAGTCTGAAAATAGACTTACCTTCAATTTCATCATAAAAGTCAACCTCCCACCTAACACGTTGAAACTCCTGTGGTTGTGAAAGAAGAAAAATGAAGTTCCACTTCCCTTTCATTCCATGAGCCCCTTCAGTGGTTACTGCCTCACTAGAGGTGCAAGTTACTAGAACCGCAGAATATAAACTGTTACATAAAATGATGAAATATGCGCACAGAAAATAAGGGAGCTTTTTAAAATAAAAACTAATTTGTATGCTTTGGAAAGACTCAAAGGTGAGTTTTTTTTTTTTTAAGCTAATTAGATATGGGTAAGACAACTGTGAAAAACTGGAGAATTTTTTTTTTAAAGGCGTGAAGGATGTACACTCAAATTGCCTTGTAATTTTTCCTTTACTTAAAACCCTGAAACCGGACATTTTCTAACTGAAATCACATTGACACTCTGTGGTATCTATGTGTGATGGAGAATATGGAGCCAGGAGAGCAGTTCTTGGATACAGAACCACATTTTGGTTGAATGACTTTATGTTTATGTATTCGTAGTTAAATGCAATATGTATGTGGTCAGGTTTCATGGCTTTTTCAAGTGACTAACTACAGGTCTTAAGTAAGTCAGGTGACAGGATTGTACCAGATGTAAAAAACGAGTTTAATATAAACTCATCAATTTGTTGAAACTGAATATCAAAATGAGAACCTCAGTGTTTGGGGAACAGTTAAATCTACAACATAGTAATTTAGTAGAGGTTCATGGAGTCAATTTAAGGAATATCCCATGATATGTAAAAATATATATGTATATTATTAAATTGTATATTTGTAAAGATGTGGCCCAGATATAAACTTTATTTACCTCCAGCCATATAATAAGTAAATATCACACAGATTAGTTGTGCAGTCCAACTCTCGTGCGTGTGCACAGATCAGCCTCGGGACCAAAATGCCACATCCCTCTTCCCCATATGTTAGTATTGAAGTTCTGCCAATCCTTCAAAAACTGACTCAGATGTTACCATTACCTGAAGGCTTTCCTAAGTTCTCCACATCAAACTGTGGTTCACTTAGCCAAACCTGTTTGTCGTTAATACGTTGGAATATTACCTGCTGTTTCCTGTAGCTAGAAGTGGTGCTTAGTACTATGGTTTTCGGAATCACAGTACTGAAGAGGCATCTGAGAACTGTGTATGTGTTTGCACACAGTACTCAATCTCTAGCTTTTCTAAAACGCCATCTCTGGCACATTTGCTTAACTTATTTTAAAGAGCACACACTGAAGTAGTATGACAAGCAGCACAAGAACTTCTGTTTTCTGTGTTGGAAGAAATAACAAATGATTATACACAGCAAGGACAAAGAGATGAGTTTTTAGAGAAAAAAGCACATTAGCAATAATATTCCACTGGCGAAGTCACTACCTATGCATATCATATATTGTATACATTGGCAAAGCATTTTGTTTCAACTTTGCCTTTTCGTTTTTTCCAGTATGTATAAAATGCTTGTCTTAATTAATAGTCATTTTCTGCTGGGGGTGGGGTAAGGAATGGCCGTTTTAATGATATTAATGTACAGTGGATTCTTGGCTGTGAAGGAGTGTTACCAAATATTACAGCTTGTATTAAAAGTGTAAAGATAGAAATAAGTGGTGCCTGTTTAAAAAGCTATAAGATTTAGAAGCCTCTCCGCTCTGACAGGGATGGTAAAGCTCATTTTAATTCTGAAATGCAACTTCCATGTGTTTTACAGTTTAATTTTCTATAATTTTAACCAATTTTATATAATGAGTTTTGTAGCTTTATAAGTATATTAATCTAACAATTAAATAGAGAAAAACAATTGTTTCTACACGTACAGGACTAGAATGTGTGGCTAGTTTCTCTCTTATTGGTACCTCTACACAGTGGAGCTTTCTGTAAACACATTCTAAATATAGAAGTGTCTTTAAAGATGAGCTTTTCCTCTTTTTCTGTTAAGACAGAGCTTCCTTTGGGCTGGCATTTTGTTTACTCTGAAGGGGCTCCTCCAGGAGAGACACTCTGAACCCCGTGCATTCTGGGTGCCGAGCTGCCACAGGCTGGTTTGGGGACTTCTCAACTTAGTGCGCAGAAAAATGAATTCTGTGAACTTAAAATCAGAGTCTCTGCCCAAGGGGACTTCTAGCATCAAGAAAAGGTAGAAGCTAGCTGAGGTTTAAGAGGTTTGTGCAGGAGAAAAATGAGGCGTTAAATGGTTAAACACTGCCAGCAGATTTTTAGCATTGTTTAATAGTTTTAAATTATGGAGGTCTTAGGTCCAAAATGTAACAGTTATCCAACTCACTGACATTAAACATTCAGTTGCCAGCTTCTGTTTTCTTGGTCATTAATTTTCAGTCTATGTATTTTCGGTGCTTTGCTAAGAGTTTTGTTAAAATAACTTTTCTTGTTTGCATTCTCATTTCCTACAAATTCAGACTTTGCTTTAGAATCCAACAGATGGATACTTGGAGTTAGCTTATTTTTTCCATCTACCCTATTTTTTTTCCTTCTACCTTTTATTTAATGAGGAGGCCAGGTGTGGTGGCTCACACCTGTAATCCCAGCACTTTGGGAGGCTGGGGTGGACATATCACTTGAGCCTAGGAGTTCGATACCAGCCTGCGCAACATGGCAAAAATCTATCTCTATAAAAAATGCAAAAATACAAAATTAGCCAGGCATGGTGGTGCACACCTGTATTCCTAGCTACTTGGGAAGCTAAGATCAGAGGATCACCTGAGCCCAGGGTGGTCAAGGCTACTGTGAGCCAAGATCATGCCACTGTACTCCAGCCTGGGCAACAGAGTAAGACCCTGTCTCAAAAAAAAAGAAAAAGAGTAACAAAGTAAGATATCTTTTGTCTGGTTATAATAAAAGCTGTAGTATGTATAATTTACTCAAAAGCAGAGCTTGCTTTGGAAATCTCTACATGCTTGAAATTTAAAGCAGTGCATATATAGTCTCCATATGTATTCCATACTGTAAACCATGATGGTGTTCCAGGGATTGAGTCTGAGTGTTTATAAAATGGCACATGGCACTTAATTTTGAAACCGTGGAAATATTTAAATTACTGACTTGATGAAGGCTATAGATCAATGTAAGAACTTATTAGTTCTCACATTGATTTGGATGCATTCAAAGATGCTAAATGATTGCCAATATAGTTTTTTTTTCTGGACTATTTAATTCATGGTAGGTATATCCAGTATGTATAAGAAAGTAAAAAAAATGCAAACACTTTAATCTCAAATAACAGTATGCAGTGCTCTAATATAATATCTTCTACTCTGAAGGGCAGGTCATAAGAGCAGGCTCCTGGTGATGAGATGGGAGATCATTCTTCATTTGTTGGAAGATCAACTTTATTTCATGCCCTAGAAATGCTTGCTTTACAAAGAAACATACGTAGGGCAGCATGTATCCTGAGGTTTCCAAAAGAGAAAAGATTTGTTCACAGGGGTAAGTTGAGGAGGCGGGAGAACAGCTCTCAAATCCACCTCCCTGCCGATAAGACTTAGGAATATTTTTGGGTTAGGAAGTAACAGGTTCATTTGTGCAAGCGTATTTGGGGTTCTTGGCACTTCATATGACATATATACAGAAGATGGCAGCTTTAGCATGATCTGTGGGTGGAGTTTTTTGGCCCTCTGGCTTCAAAAGGCCACCTCTCAGGCATTTGCGCAGGCCCACTTGAAGGGTTGGTGGTCTCAGCTGGTTTGAAGTGAACAGCAGCTGGCCCAAGTTTCTGAAAAACAGCTGAAGCCAACATTACCAGGAATGTCATCTGTAATGCAGCCAGTAATGGTTAAGTTTCAGTGTTCTGTGGCACGGCCTTCAACTTCATGGAAAAGGGACAAAAATAACATAAAGCAAGTGGCCAAAAGCAAGCAGAGCAGGCAGTTGTGATCAGATTAACCTCTTGGTTTCACTGCTATGAACATCTGTATACAGGTTTTTTGTATAGAAATAGGTATTCAGTTCTCTTCAATACCTAGAAGTGGAATTGGTGAGTCATAATGATAACGCTATCTTTAACATTTTGAGGAACTGTTGAACTGTTTTCTGAAGTGGCTTCATCATTTTACATTCTTACCAGCAATGTGCTAGGTTCCAGTTTCTCCATATCCTCACCAGCACTTGTATTGTCTGTCTTTTTTTACTATAACCATTCTGATGGGTTTGAAGTGGTATGCCATTGTGGTTTTGGTTTCCATTTCCATGATGAGTAAGGATGTTAAACATCTTTTCATGTGGTTATTAGCCGTTTATATATCATCTTTGGAGCAATGTCTATTCAGATTCTTTGCCCATTTTTGGATTGGGTTGTCTTTTTATTGTTGGACTATAAGTGTTCTTTATGTAATCTATATACAAATGCCAAATCCTATATGAGATATATTATTTGTAAATATTTTATCCCATTCTGTAGGTTGTCTTTTCACCTTCTTTATAGTGTTTTTTTTTTTTAGCACAAATGTTTGTAATTTTGATAAAGTCTAATTTATCTGTTTTTTCTTTTGTCCCTTATGCTTTTGGTGCCTTATCTAAAAAATTACTGCCTAGCCCAAGGTCAAAAAACTTTACTCCATTTTCTTGTAGGAATTCTATAGATTCAGCTCTTAAACTTACGACTGTTATTTATTTTGAGTTATTGTTTGTTAATGGTGTGAGGTAGTTGTCCAACTTCATTCTTTTGCATGTTGATATATAGTTGTACCAGTACCATTTACTGAAAAGACTATTCTTTTTCCTATTGAATTGTCTTGGTAACTTGTTGAAAATCAATTGACTAAAACAGAGAGGATTTATTCCTGGACTCTCAGTTCTATCCCATTTATTTATACATCTATCTGCAAAATTATTTTAATAAAAACAAATAGTGAGCACATTAATCCAGTGTGAGTAATTCATGGATCCATTACTAAATCTTTGTGAAAAATAGAGAATGGAAAAGTATCTTTAATCCTGTTACTGTAAATGTTTTGCTGTATTTCCCTTGAGTAGACTTAGACCATTTAATTCCTTTACAACAGCTATTCCTACCTGTTTCTTTTTTTAACTCACTCTGCTCATGTTACTTCTTTTCCTGTGCACTCGAGAAGCCAGAAGTAACACTGCAAAGCACAATAACCCCTAAAATCACTTGTCTGTCTCACACACACAGGAAGAAAGGAATAAAGGGTAAATTTCCTTTTAATATTTTATGTTTTATTGTTCTTTTTTTCTACAGTAAGCTACTCATTTACTGCATCTGATACTGAGGCTCTACAGTAGCCATGCACTTTAGTCTGTCTCTTAAGACACTTTTGGAGATATTTTCATCAGTGGTTTAAATCACAAGTTGCCTTAATTTAAAGACAAGAAAGAGAGCATTCTGAACAAAACATAAACATTTTTTAGCCCAAGTTCAAACTGGCTTTTTTGCTCCCCAAGACTTTTTTTTTTTTTTGAGACAGGGTCTTGCTGTGTCACCCAGGCTGGAGTGCAGTGCCACAGTCATAGCTCACTGAAGCTTTGACTTCTTGGGCTCAAGTGATTCTCCCACTTCAACTTTCTAGGTAGTTGGGACTACAGGCATGCACTACCATGTCCAGCTAAATGTTTAAATTTTTTGTAGAGGCCAGGCATGGTGGCTCACTCTTGTAATCCCAGCACTTTGGGAGGCCGAGGAAGGCAGATCACTTGAGGTCAGGAGTCTGAGACCAGCCTGGGCAACGTGGTGAAATCCCATCTCTACTAAAAATACAAAAATTTGCTGGGCATGGTGGTGCATGCCTGTAATCCCAACTATTCGGGAGGCTGAGGCAGGAGAATCACTTGAACTGGGGAGGCAGAGGTTGCAGTGAACCGATATCATGCCACTGCACTCCAGCCTGGGTGACAGAGCAAGACTCCATCTCAAAAAAAAAAAAAAATTTTTTTTTTGTAGAGTTGTCTCACTGTGTCACCCAAGCTGTTCTCAAACTCCTGGGCTCAACCTCCCACCTCAGCCTCCCAAAGTGCTGGTATTACAGGCTTGAGGTACTGTGCCTGGCCCCCACAAAGACTTTTTATACCTGAAATACCTATTTAAAGTATATTTCTACTTAAAATTTTTTTTCATCTTTCAGATACACTTTAATACCCATGTCTTAACTTTTACAAACCACTGTAACTTTATAAACAGAGATTACTTGAGAAGCAAACTGGCAATCCATATTTTCAGAGAGCTGAGAGGTTTTCCACAGAGCTGAAAGAGAACTAAGGAATACAAATCTCAGAAGGAAGAATTGCGTCCTACCTAAGAGGTAGGCATGAAGGACACATGCACTTTTTGCAAACTGTGCTGTTGAAATTTACACGCTACATCTTCAGTTGTCTGACTTGGACAATGACACTGCTTGTATATGAAATAATATTAGCTTAAAATTATTAAACAGTGAAATACTGCTTTTAAAAGTGAGGTGTCTTCAAAGATGGGAACAACAGACACAGGGGCCTCTGAAATGGGAGAGGGAGAGGCCGCAGGTTAGAAAAACTACCTGTTAGGTACTTGTGTTCACTATTTGGGTGACATGATCAATGGAAGCCCAAACCTCAGCATCTCGCAGTATACCCACGTAACAAACCTGTACATGTACCCCCTGAATCTGAAATAAAACAAAGAATAAAAATGAAGTGTCTTATCTAAAATGAAAATCTATATTGCTTTGCCCTTTCAAACTTAACATGTCCAAAAGAGAGCTGTTGATTCTTTCATCTCAACACTCGTTCTTCCTGCTTTGTCTTCCCCTGCCCTGTCCTTTCCCCTCCCTTTGTGATCCACCCCTGCTGAGCTTCCCACCTTTTGGCACCACGCTCATAATTCCTTATTATGCTCCAGCTGTATTGCCCTCTTTACTTATCTGAACAGGTGGCACTTTTCTTCCTCTAGCTGCTTTGCTCCCAAATGTTCTGTTCCCTTTTGAAAGGTTGGTGGGTCTCTCCTCTAGCTCACAACACCCTGTGTTCTTCAGAGCTCTGATGTTCTTATTTGTACGTTTCCTTCTGTATTACTTGTGTCCTCACTGGTCCATAGGTGCCTTGGAGACAAGGATCCTATCTGTCTTTCCCCCTCAATCTCCAGCTCCTGGAGTAGAGCCTAGTCCATAGTTGGTGCTCCATAAATATGTGTTCAATAAATGATCAAGCAGGAGTGAGTTATAACCAGAGGTCAAAACCCTGGGGCATCGGAGAAGACATGCATATGTGTCAAGTCGTAATTAATGTGTTGCCCCAGAGAGGACCATGTCAGCTGTCTGCTTCCTGGGGAGCTGGCTTCTGGCAGCTTCAACCATCTAAATACAGTCAAGGAGAAAGTTGCATCAGTTCCATTTGTTTTTGTTTTTCCATTGGATTTTGAACCCCAGGAGAACAGTTGCCATAACAGCTTTCCTTCAGCTTTTGGTAGTCTCTAACCTCCATTCAATATTGACTACTGTGGGAAAAGCACTCTCTCTGAACGAGGCTTCTTACTGTTTCTGAATTTACCCATACTTCTAATCTTATTGCTAACTAATTTGTACAGAAGTCTGTTTCTTTAGATAGTAAGTTAAAGATGAGAATTTGAATGGAGACTGCTGATCTCGCTATAGGCCCATGCAGCCAGCTCCTGGCCACATCTGAAGGCTCAGCTGAAGTGGCCTTTCCTCGGGGAACCCTCCTTCAGGTCCTTGGCACATTTTACTGTCTTTAATAAATAGCACTGACTCCATTTGGGATGAAAAAAGCAAATATGCAGTCTGTTATTGGGCCCAGCCCCAATTTAAACATCTTGAGGGCAGAGAACATCTGTCTTTTTTTTTTAAGGAAAAAAAAAACAAAACACTACTCTATCTCCAAAACCTGATATGTACTCAATATTTAATAAAAATAAATTGAATTAATTAATCCTTTCCAACCTTACAGATATTTCTGATTGATAGATCCATTGTCCAGCAACAATAATATATGACTATGTCTATCTTAGTAAATAAATTTCTAAAAAGCTCAAATACTGGGACATGAATGGCTCACTGAGAGCAATAGGGTGTGGAGAAAGAGAGAGAGGGAGCGAGCAGAGGGAGCTGGATGTACACGCAGTTGCAGTCAGTCACTTGTTTCCTGAGTAGACTATTTGAGTTTTTGAACGGTTATTGGTGTGATTATGTCTATCCCATCAAATTGTTGATGAACTTTCCAGTTTTTTTTGGAAAATAAATATTAAAGGATACAATTCTGATTATGTTTATATTTCGTTTCATTTTGTTTTCAACTTACCCTGTGAATTTCGTCCATGATGTTATGGTATCTTAAGGGATGAATCTAATACAGAATTATGCACAATTTTTGTCATTTGCCTCCCTTAAAAGAAAAAAAAAATGTCCATGACTATACTAAAAGATCCTGTCATCTTAACTAAGAGGCAGCTGTTTCCCTGGAGTTTTTTCCCTCTTAACTATATCAGCTATACTGAGTGGGATGTAATCACATGATTTAAAATTGATAATTAGTGTGTGAAAGGCACTTGGCAATGAAATACATAGCAATATCAGTGACATAATTTTGGCAGCAGAAAAATGCTAAATATAATCCAAATGTCAATGTAGAAATGAAAACAGTACTAGCTAGTCAATGATTTATATAATGTCTTGGGAAAATGAAGTCAATTGCATCAAATTTTAAATCAAAATAAAATATACTTTATTTAAAAGTTATAGAAGCTGGAGGCGTAGTATACGTGTGTGTTATGTGTATGTATATACAGTGTATGGATATATTTAATATCATTAAAAATGATTATCCTTGCCCCGGTTGTACTTCTCTTCTATTCATAAACCCTAAAGAAAAGCTCTTTAGATTTTTCTTCTAGGGCAAGGCGCAATGGCTCACACCTTTAATCACAGCACTTTGGGAGGCTTGAAGTGGGTGGATTGTCTGAGCCCAGGAATTTGAGACAAGCCTAGGAACATGATGCAACTCCATCTTTACAAAACAAAACAAAACACACAAAAATTAGCCAGGCGTGGTGACATGTTCCTATAGTCTCAGCTACTCAGATAGCTGAAGCAGGAGGATCACTTGAGCCTAGGAAGTTGAAGTTGCAGTAAGCAATGATTGTGCCACTGCACTCCAGCCTGGGTGACAGAGCAAGACCCTATCTCAAAGAAAACCCAATTGTTTCTTCTGGAAGTTGTCTTCATATCTCTGAATATGTGTGCCTATTTTGCAGTATGCTAAATTTGGTTCATTTTAGACATTATCTTTTGACTTCCTGTTTCAACAGGTGAGGATTTCCCTCTCTACATTACAGCTTTGCCTCCTCTCCTTCTCCCTTCCCACATAGTTACATCTCTAATTTTAATTAATTCAGGGATCCATGATAACCTCTTTAAATTATGTAAATAATGTTCATTGTAGGGCTAAAAAGTATGATTTTTTTTTCTTTCTTGTTCAGGTTTCAGTTTTCTCTGTGGTTTCTAATGGCCTTTCTTTTTGTCTTTTACCCTAACTGCATCCTACATTTGTTTAATACTCTCAAGATGTACCATTATAGTATGTTTGTCTGAGTCTCTTGTCCCCCTTCCCCTTCCTTCTGAAGCACCCTCTCCTCCAGTCCCTATCTGGACTGCTTGCTCTCTAGGCTCTGCTTGCTGCTGGACTTCACTTCTCTTTGATGCTCTCCAGGAGGGCACCATTTCCTGGATTCCTTGTTTTCTTTATTCTTAGTTTCCTCACTCACATTCCTGAAGTATATGTATCAATAGATTCTTACTGTTACATCAGCAGTATATTTCTGAGACGTTGGATAGCCACAATATCTTTATTCTTTGATTATATTTGATTGGTAGATTAGCTGGGTATAAAATTCTAGGCTGAAATTCTTTTTCTGTCAGAATGCTATGTGTTGTTTAGCTTACTTCTGGTTGATTGGAAACTCAATGCAATTTTGATTCTCCATCTTTGGCATTTAGATTCTATTTTCTCTTTATGTTTAGTGTTCTGAAATTTACAAAGATATGTGTTTTTGTGGATATCCTTTTCTTAATGCGCTTTCAATCTAAAGACTGGTTTCCTTTAGTCTGGGAAATTTTCTTCTATTATTTTTTGGTAATATCCTCCTTTGCATTTTCTACATTCTGTCTCTCTACAACTTAGTCATATATTTAACCTTCTGGGTTTACATTCTAATCTTATCCTTTTACTGTCTTGGATATTTCCGTGACTTATCTTCTAGGTCCTCTATTGAGGATTGGGTTTTTATACTCTCTTTTTAATTTTCAAGTTCTTTTTTATGTCTTTTTTTCCCTACAAGCATTCTGATCTTAGTTTACAGATGTAATATCTTCTCCTATCTCTTTGAGGATATGAAATAAAATTTATTTAATGTTTTCTTTTGTTCTCTCATTCATCTCTGTTTTCTCTGTGTTCTTTCTTGTGAAAACTTCTCTTAAAAGCCCCAATGGGTGTGTTCAGTCTTTCTTTAATTAGCTCTTTTATTTATTAATTACATCATTTAACATCCATCTAGTAATGCAAATATTGAAATACTGAATGGCTAATACATTTCAGATGCTAGTAAAAGTAACATATGTTCACAGTAATTTGACCCTGTGATAAAATGTGAGAGTTTTTTTCATGGCTTATCTCTTTTATTTTCCTTTCCTGGAAGAATTTCCAGAAAACAATAGAATTTCTGTTGTTATGAAAACAGTAGAGAACAAACTTGTTAGCAAATGTAGATAATGAAAAGCACTATCCATCTCCTTTAAATTCTGTTGTGGAAAGGGATTTTACACTGTGCAAATACAAAGAATATTGTATTTTAACTATATATTTATTCATACTTGGATGATAATTAAGAGGACCTTCCATGGAATTAGCTGTGGATTTCTTTTCCAGGTGTTCATGATTGTGTCATATATTCAGGTTAAATCAGACATTAGCCTATTTAGTGAAATTCTAATGTATACAAGCATCTGCAGCAATAAAATATATTTTGAGGATTTTACTCCTCATAAAACACATTCCATGCTGTAATTATTTCCTTCAGCAGTTGCTGATTCCCTATCTATATTAGTATTCTTAGGCTTTTCAGCAGGATTGAAAAATATTTCTGTTGATTGTTCAGCTACTGTTCTGAAGTCATAAAAGTACACTTACAATAGACAACTTGCTATATCAATGCCTTAAAATTATTTTCAATAAATTATGGTATTTTCTGAATATTAATAATGCCATAATTAAGCATAAACAATAAAATGACCATGATAGTAGCTTGATTGCTAGGAATTTTTTAAGGCAATATTGCTTGTTCCTTCTGAAAATAAAAGCTGAGAGCAAAGAGAAAGGGGAAGGAGAAAGGAACAAGTATTCAAGAATGGTTTTCCACGTGAAACTGTGAGCTGAATGCACCAGCATCATCCACCTGCAGCTTTCTGGGGCCTGGGAGGGACACGTGGTGCTGACTGAGAGGTGGGGCTCCTGGTGCTGTTTCCCATTTCTGTCCTTGCAGGGGTCTTAGTGCTAAGCCTTTTGCAGCAGCTCCTAGTGTGGGCCCTTGAGGAAGCTGCCACTTCTGAGTGCCAGAAACTGATAGCCGGGATTGTGGGGTCTAACAGCTGGGACGAAGGGCCAAGGAGGAGAGTGCTTTTACCATGGGCGGCACAGGTTGGGCTTTGTTTGTCTCATGTCATTTTTGATCTGTTGGACAGACAGGGCTATTGAGCCAGCTTGACCTCTTCTGTAACCTCTTCCCCACTGCCATTCTCAGCAATGGCTCTGGAGGAGGTCATGCTTCCTGATTGTGGCCAGTCATGTCTGATGAAGTCTCTGTCCCAGAATAAATACTTACTTAGGGTTAAAATAGAGGAGCCATAAACTTTAGGTACCGTTTATGAAATGTATTGCAAAGTCCCTTTTCTTTGCTTCTGTCCTTGCCCTTGACCTTTAAGTGTTGCTGTCGCCCAGAGGCCCACCATGGATTTCCTCTTGCCTCCTTACATAAGTTCCCTTGCTGGAGACTTCCACTGCTGTGGTTATAGCATATTTGCCAATGTTACAAACATTTTTCTTATCAGAAACTCTCCCCTGAGCATCAGCCTTGTGCTGTGGATTTTTTCCTGGAGAGCCCACAGGTACTGTGCCTTAAACATACCCCCAAAATACATTCATCTACCACTTGGCGCTCTCCCTCCCGAGCTTCACCTTTGGTTGTGTTTGTTGCCATCTTTCCTGTCTCCTATCAGAAAATGCCTGGAGTCATTCTTTGCTGCCACCCTATATCAGGTCCATCAGCCAGGACCTCTCAGGATCTTTCTTCAAGACTAATCCCAGCTGGTCTCAAACTCCTGGCCTCAAGTGATCCTCTTGTCTCAGCCTCCCAAGTAGCTGGGATTAAAGGCATGTACCACTGTTCCTGGCCCATGTGGGATTCCTGCCTCTCCTGACACTCCAGCCTGCTCCCAAACATTTCTGTTTAGGTAATTAACAATTATCTAACAAGTAATTAACAAATACTTTCACAAGTCAGTGGTTAGGTTAGACTTACAAAAACTGTCAGTGAATCATGCTACCCCCCACCCCACTACCTTGATGTAGTTGCCCTGTGTTCCCAGTTGCTTTGAGAAAGCAGATTCAAGAGCAGAAAGCATTCCTAAGGACAGATGAACTTTCCACGAGAGTCCATTTGTAGTGGTCCACTTCCGTGGTACTCTGGGCCCTCCCTCCCCACCTCCCTCTCCAGAGCCCACATTTCCCAGTTTACAAAAGGAAGGAATACATCTCACTTCTTCAAGTCTTTACTGTGGTGTATGCATCATGATACAAAAAATCTTAGGGATACAAACCAATGAGACAACATTTAGTGGAAAAAAAAAAAAAAGAAAAGACTGCCTATGTTTATTATATCTGGACCCTGATAGGATATTTATCTTCTGTCAGGGAGTTGAGACAGTATCTATTCAGCTGTACAATACACCCTCTCACCATACACAATGGTCAGCGATACCTTGCTCCTGAGCAAAAGTCCAAAGAAACTGCCAGTGAGAAACATGGGAGGCAGCTGCCTCTGATATCGTGGAGACACCAAGGTCATGGCCAGACTGTTCATCAGATCCATCTGTGTCTATGAGTGGAAGCTCAGAAGCAAAAGAGTCATCATGGCATGTTTATTAACATGTGCATTGTAGTTGAAATATGAAATCAGAGTCTTTTTTTATGATTTAACTGATTGGTTAGAAAGTGAAGACAGAGGTGTTGTCAGAGTGTGGCAAAAATTTTCCAAAACTTGAATGAGCTAAATCTGCAACTGTAGGGTTTGAAAGAGCACTTAAGGCATGTGACACAGTGACTGTGATATGTTGGAGAGAACCTTTTTCACAAAGAATACAATGTGAGCAAGCTTAGCCCTGTGTGATAAGAGAAAACTATTTTATCAAATGGCAATGAAGTAGCAAGAGGCTATTACAAATGAAACAATTTTACTTTCCTCAAACTTTGCTGAGTGTACTGAGTGAAAAAAGATAAATCTAAATGAGACCATAGCAGGGATAATTAAAGGTCATTTGAAACTTCTTGGTATACCTCTAGATATACTTCTCAGAAGTTAAGAAAGTAAATGATTCTTGTGACTAATTAACAACTATTTTCACTAGTCAGTGGTTTCTGTTTCTTTGCTTTTTAGAAAATTTAGAAAACGACCTAATCACGATGTCAGCAGATAGAAGATTTCAAATAACTTTGCAATACAGCACCATATTATTTTTGGCATACGGTTCAGAAGAAATCTAAAGTATTGATGGCTCTTGCTGTAATGAAGCTTTACATTCTTTTTAATGTGTGAACTATTAATAGATTTCTCAGGACTGAGATCTATAGAAATGAGTAATAGGAATAGAAATTAAAACAAAATTAAGTAAGATTTCCATTTACCATTTCTGTGAAGTATAACAAGTGATCAATAAAATAAACAAAACTACATTAAATTATGGTAAAACTATATGTGTCAAGTGGAATGGAAAACGAGTTCAAGGTAGAAGGAATGATACAAAATTTTTGACTCTTCAAGAAATCCTTGTTTCTATTCACACTAGCAAAGACACGGAATCAACCCAAATGCCCATCAATGATAGAATGCTAAAGAAAATGTGGTACATATACACCATAGAATACTGTGCAGCCATAGAAAGGAATGAGATCATGTCCTTTGCAGGGACATGGATGGAACTGGAAGCCATTACCCTCAGCAAACTAACGCAGAAACAGAAGACCAAACACCGCATGGGGAGCTGAACAGTGTGAACACATAGACACAGGGAGGGGAACACCACACACTGGGGCCTGTGGGGGTTGGGGAGGGAGAGCATCAGGAAAAATAGCTAAGGCACGCTGGACTTAATGCCTAGGTAATGGGTTGACAGGTGCAGCAAACCACCATAGCACATGTTTACCTATGTAACAAACCTGCACATCCTGCGCATGTACCCCAGAACTTAAAATAAAATTAAAAAAAAAAGAAAGTTGCCTAAGTATACAGCTAAGAGTAGGAGAGCCAGGATGTTAGCCAGTTGGTCTGACTCCAGAGTAAGGTCTTCAGGGCACTGCAAAGACATCAAGGAGTTCACAGTCCAGTGGGAGAGACAGGCAAGCCAGCCAGGATGATGATATATGATATGATATGATATGATATGATATGATATGATATATGATGGTATGATATGATATGGTGATATGATGATGTGATATAATATGGTGATATGATCTGATGATATGATATATGATATGGTATGATATATGATATGGTATGATATATGATGATACGGTATATGATAGGATATGATGATACGATATAATATGGCCTGTGATGAGGCTGTGGGAACAGAGAAAGGACACTGAATGGAATCTTGTGGAGGTGGGGAGATCATAGAAGCATTTCCAGAATTGAGGTTCTAGCCATGTGTCCCCAGTACCCTGTGATGGTTAATGTTATATGAACTTTACTGAGCCATGGGATGCCCAGGTATTTGGTCAACATTATTCTGGGTGTTTCTGTGAGGATGCTTTTGGATGAGCTTAACATCTAAATAGGGAGACTGAGGACAGCAGATTGCCCTCCCTAATGTGGGTGGGCCTCATCCCATCAGCTGAGGGCCTGAAGAGAGCAGAAGACTGACCCTCCTGTGAGTAAAAGTCCTCCTGCCTAGCTGCCTTCAAACTGGTACATCAGCCTTTTTTCCCTGCCTTCAGACTGGAACTGAAACATCAGCTTTTCCTGGGTCTCCAGCTTACAGACCCCCTCTGCAGATCTTGGGACCTGCCCACCTTTCTAATTGCGTGAATCAATTCCTTATAATGAATCTCTTCATGTGCTCACACATACAGACACACACACACACACACACACACTCATTAAGTGCTTGTTAATGTCTTTTTAAAAGTGGGTTGTGATGAATATCTGTGGTATTTAGAATCCATTAGCCACATTAAAAAGTGATGTAAATTTATTTTATAGTTTTAATATTTATAATATGCCAGAAATTATATCTTTTACAACTATTTATCCTTATCATTAAAAATTTTAGATGTTACCTAAATGCAAATATGTAGAGATTGCATTGAGTCTGTAGACTCAAAATCCCAGTGACATTTTTTGCAAAAACAGGAAAACCTATTCTAAGCTTCATATGGAAGCCCAGTGGATCCCCAAATAGCCAGAACAATCTGTTTGGAGGACTCAACATTTCCTGATTTCAGAACTTACTACAGAGCTACAGTAGTCAAAACAGTGTGTGTTACCATAAAGACAGATACGTAGACCCAATGGAATAGAATAGAGAGCCCAGAAGTAAACCCTGGAATATGTAATTAAATGATTTTCAACAAGAGTGCCGAGAGCATTCAATTAAAAAAAAAAAAAAAAAAGTCCTTTCAACGAATGAGGCTAGGAAAACTGGATATCCAGATGCAAAATAATGAAGTTGGACCCTTACTTAACACCATATGAAAAAGATAATTCAGGACAGATGCAGTGGCTCACACCTGTAATTCCAGCACTTTGGGAGGCCAGGGCAGGTGGATCACTTGAGCCAAGGAATTTGCGACCAGTCTGGGCAACGTGGTGAAATCCCATCTCTACCAAATAAAAATACAAAAATTAGCCAGTTGTAGTGGCGCATTCCTGTAGTCCCAGCTACTCATGGGGATGAGGCGGGTGCTGAGGTGGGAGGATCACCTGAGTCCTGGGGAGGCTGAGGCTGCAGTAGGCCGTGATTATACCACTGCATTCCAGCCTGGGCGGCAGAGTGAGACCTTGTTTCAAAAAAAAAAAAATTAACTCCAAATGAATCAAAGACCTAAACGTAAGACCTAAAACAATAAAACTCTTAGAAGAAGACATAAGGGGACAGTTTCATGACATTGAATTTGGCAGTGTTTACTTGAACACCAAAAATATAGGCAACAACACCAAAAAATAGACAAATTGGACTTCATCAAAATTCAACATTTTTGCCCTTCAAAAGATTCTATCAACAGAGTGAAAAGGCAGCCTATGGAATGGGAGAAAATATTTGCAAATCATATATCCGATAAGAGATTAATATCCAAAATATCTGAAGAGCTCCTAAACACAACAGCAAAAAACCAATTCAAAAATGGGCGAAAGACTTGAGTAGACATTTCTCCAAAGAAGATATGCAAATATCCAATAAGCAATGAAAAGGTGCTCAGCATCACTGATGATTAAGGAAATGTAATTCAAAGCTACACTGAGATACCACTTCATACCCATTAGGATGTCTATTATCAATAGAAAACAAAAAAGAGTTACAGAGTATGTAGATAAGTTGAAACTCTTGTGTATTGCTGCTGGGAAAGTAAAATGGTTTAGCCACTTGAAAGATAGTATTGCTGTACCTCCACGATATTAAACATAGAATTACTATATGATCCAGCAATTCTACTTCTGGGTATATATCCCAGAGAATTGAAAGCAAGGACTGAACCCATGTTTTTATACCACTGTTTATAGCAGCATTATTCACAGTAGCCAAAAAGTGGAAACAACCCAAATATCCATGTATGGGTGAATGAATAAACAAAGTATGCTATATACATACAATGGCATATTATTTAGCCTTAAAAAGAATGAAGTCCTAATACATGCTACAACATGGATGAATAAAACTTTATGTTAAGAAATATAAGCTACACAGACAAGGACAAATATTGCATGATTTCATAGAGGCAAAACAGGGACTGTGGGGAGAGGAGAGTTGCTTAATACTCATTAATATAGAGTTTAATGGTTTAATTAATACCATTAATACAGAATTTCAGTTTGGAGTGATGAAAAAGTCCTGGAGATGGATGATGGTGATGGGTACACATCAAGGTAAATGTTTTTAATACCACTGAACTGCACACTTGAAAACAGTTAAAATGGTGAATTTTATGTTCTGTATATTTTACCATACCAAAAAGGACATAAAACATATTGAGATAGTTTTTGAGATTTGTAGATACATGGATCTTTAGATTTCTCTTAGGGAATGTGTGCACAGCTGCTCATGTATTTGGAGAATTCATGTCTAGTGTCCTTCACGGTCTGAATCCAGCCCTCTTCTCTCACTTCATTTTCCTTGTTCCAGCCACCTGGCAGCTCACACCTGCTAGGCTTTTGTACAAGTTGTTCTCTCTACTTTCAGTGCCCCTTCTCCCCGCACCCAGTTGCTGAATGGAATCTGATACTTCAAGACCCAGCCCAAGTGGCCACCACATTTGGAAAAGTTGTGCTCACTCCTCCAGACGTAACCTGTTTCTTCCTCTCCTGTGTTCCCAAAGAACTTTTCTGCACTTCAGATACGTCCCATGCCTGTCCCCAAACAGAGTGAATTGTTGGACAGAGATGGTGTCTCACCTTTGCAACTCCTACCCATAGCACAGAGCAAAACTTGAAGCAGGGCCTTAGTAAACAGTTCAGTAACTGAATTTTTAAAATATATATATGTGATTCTTTCCTTATAACCCTCCGCTGGGAGAGTAGACAGACCTTTCGCTCTACTTTCCAAAACCAGAAAATGAGACACAAAGCAAGTTCACACCTTGCCCAGGCCACAGGCTCACTGTGGCTGATGGGAATAGAGGGATAGCATCAGAATTCTCTTCTGATGATCCTAGTCTGTGCAGCCAGGCACTAAATCTTACTGTCAATAAGTTAAGGGTGTGACTTTATTGGTTATAAAACACATGTTCTCAAATATTTGCCATAGATCCTGTCCATAAATGAAGTGATCTTATACATATTTCTGCTACCCCTTCCATAATAGACCCCCTGCCACTGTTCCAACACCAGGAGGTTGGAAACAGCTGTGTCATTAATGAACGACAGCAGATCCTAACCAGTGACCTCCAGATGAAAGGCTCATTATTTCCTTACTGGTCTCAAGAGCTATTCAGTCCCCTAGCAAGCCAGCTCAGAATTTGGACTGAAGAGTCTAAGCCTTGAACTATAAAAAAAATTTACGAAGTCCTTGACACAATTTGGAGCGATTATGTTCTATTGTGCCAAGAATTTCTTATTAAAAATCAATTTAATTGTGCATACCCCATCTGGTCGGTATTATGGTCTTTTATGGGGGGGGGGGGAAACACGATTTTGTGTTTACCTGATGTTCCATAGAGTAAGCATGTAGTTTTGCAGAAACAGAGACATTTTATAACGCTGAGAAATGAGTAATTAAAGAAAATTTTTAAATGTTTACCAGACTTCTTTTTACTAACTTTTGTGACTTTGAGCTATAAGATTCAACTTTCTTGCGTTAGTTGGGATTTTAACGGAAAAGAAAATGCCAGACTAAAGTAAAAAATGTATGTGTGTACCTCATCTGCTACATTTATTTCCATGTAATAATTTCTATTTTATACTCTCAAGATTAAAATTCCAGTCCTTTTATTCTTTTTTCTTTTTCTTTTTTTTTGTTTTGTTTTTTGTTTTTGAGATATGATGTCATGGAGTCTGTGCACGATCATGGCTCACTGCAGCCTCAACCTCTCTGGCTCAAGCAACCTTCCCACCTCAGGCTCCTAGGTAACTGGGACTACAGGCATGTGCCACCATGTCCAGCTAATTTTTGAAAAAATTTTTGTAGAGACAGGGTCTCACTCTGTTGCCCAGGCTGATCTCAAACTCCTGGGCTCAAGCAGTCCTGCTGCCTCAACCTCCCAAAGTGCTGGGATTATAGGTAGGAGCCACTGTACCCAGCCTCAAGTCCTTTTAAACATAACCTAGATTTCCCATTAGTATTTAATTTGTGTTATTTTTTATTCAAGGAATTTGGATAATGAAAGATGAGAAGATTACTTCTGATTGTCTGCTAGGCCAGTCTCAACCATATTAGCAAAAGATTGCAATATTTTCACTCAAAATATTGCCAGATATATTTTAAACTGGAGTGGTTGCATTTTGTTGTACAAAATGGGGAAGATTTTTAAAGCTTGCTTTTCAAACAGCTTATACCCTAATCTTAAAAGGATCCCTTGGCACTCAAGGAAAAAGATCTGGATAATTCATAAATTTTTTGGTGTGCTTATGTGCTTATAGTTGTTAAGTATTTTGTTCAAGTGACCATCTTAAAGTATCAGTAATATAATAAGTTAGTAGCCATAAATACTGATTTGATTCTGAATTGCCTTAACTTAAATGTTTTAAAAATTACTTTTAAATAAGTAGGATTGACTGCTAGTCGCTGCAGTCTACTAAACACCTATTTGATATGAGCCATAATATCTTTCATCTTCTCTGTGCCCCGATTTCCTCATTTGTGAAATGGAATAACACCTTTTGTTAGGATTGTTAAGATATTTAAATTAGATAATTCATCTAGAGTATTGCAAGGTTCTTGGAACTGAGTAAGCCATAAATACACTTTAGCCTGTATCATCATCAAAAATAACAGAAATGACTGTTCTGCAGTGTGTGGTTTTCTTATTTAACATGCTCTTTTAGTGAGCTTTTCTCTTTAACATCAAGTATTAATATTCTGCATATATCCATTTATTGAGCACCTACTGTGTGCCCACCTGTGTGCTAGATCCTAGGTGTACGATATTGAGTGGAATCAATATAATCTCTGAGCACATGGGGTAGCCAGATAACAATACAATAAAAATTACAGAATGTGGCAAGCTCGAAGAGAAAAATGAGTGCGGTGTGGTGATAAAGACAAGCAAGTTCTCTTCTTCTACATAATTCTTTGAAGTTGAAGTGATGCTTATTTGTTACACTGATAATAAAAATGTATAAGGAAAAAATAACTTGCCCTCTTCTGGCTCCATGTCTGCTCAGGAATCAATAGAAACAGTTTGGCCAACCATTCATACTTTTCTTTGCACTCATACAAATGTATGTAAACATACAGCATTTTTGTTGTGGTTTTTACAAAAAAAAAATGGATTCTGTGCATTGCTCTGTAACTTTGTTGGTTTGCCTTGAAAAGTCCTTAGAAGTGTTATTAGTATGTGATGTTTGCTGCTGGCATTTTACCTACCCAAGACTCAGTCAGCAATAGAAAACTCTCCAAAGATTTTATAGATGAGGCCCTGTCATTATCACGGTATCCTCTCTGGTCTCCATTTAATTCTGGCCACTCCATCCCATAATTTATTGAACAGAAAAAGATTCTCTAGGGTGTCTTACTACTACTACTGTTATTATTATTCCTGACAACCTTTGCTCTATAATAGCATTTCTGATCTTTTTCCCTTGATTTCCTGCCTACTTACCTATTTATTTATTTTGCCTTTTCCTTTGTCAATCTCATGCTGTTTCTTGGGCATTGTTTCATTTCCATATTTATAAATTTAACATTTTAAAAGATAGGTGTTTCTAGTTCATAGATTTGCTGCAATCACCCCCTACTAAAGAACTTCAGGGTTTTTTGTTTTTTTTTTTGTCTGTGCTTTCTATTTTGTTTTCTGCTACCAACAATACTGCAAAACAAGATGGGTTTTTATATACCGCTGCTTTCATTTATGAGAAGTGGATTTCCAGAAATAGAATTTCTAGACAAAGTATATGTTTATATTTTATCTTACTACATATGGCCAGATCAAATTTCAAAAAAAACCTGAAGCATTTTGACATTTAAACAGATATCTTTGGTGCCAGTTTATCAGCCCAGACCTGATATGCAAATTAGTAGATCGTGATGTTATTGCCACTTCAGTAAGAAACCATATGTTAATTTACCTCATTATTCTCCATAGGGTACTTTTTCACTTCAGTCCTCTACCAGGGATCCTGAAAGAGCAGAGTAAATAGAAGAACAGGTCATCCCTTTTCCACATTAAGTAGTCGTTTGTTAAGTGTCGGCTGTTAGCTGAGAGCCTGAGAGTGGCGGCAGGTACAACCCGCCGAGGTTGGACGATGGCAGCGGGACGTCCAGACAGGAGCCTGTGCAATTAGCCAAGACGGTTACTGTGTTTTTGGCAGTCAGGCAGCAGTTAAAGCAAAGAAGGGTCTTTTTTTTCCAAGAAGGAAAAGCCATTTAATAAGTTTGGGTCAGTTTGCTCATAACAACACTACATTTGAGGACCAAAAACCCCAGGAGCTTGGCAAGCCAGCAGTGCTTGGCAAGTCTTCCTACCAGCTCACCAAGTCTGAGGCCATCCTGCAGGGATCTGGCTCTCTGGGCTTTGACTGTATTCATTTAACAGCATTCCTAGTTAACAAGAAACTAAAGGCAGAGGAATCCTTTTCCCATTAGTCCAAGAGTAAAATTTAGTGGCTATAAGCAAGCCACCATCCAAGTAACTGCACGTCAAATGGGGGACGGACAGTCTGTTTGTATTGAAGGCTCTGCGTTTAGTGTACACAGCTGGGAACTTGTGGCCCACCAAAAATGACATTTATATTTAGGAATTGGGTGGTGCTGTCTTTTTGGTGTATGAATTAACATTTGTATATGACTTACTAGTGTGAAAGTCTGATTTTATAATGTGTCAGAGAGCCATCGTTTACCTGTCTCATGAATAAATAAAATAAAAGCTAAGTACGTTTGTATAAATATTTAAAAATACACTGCCTTCTCATACTTTTCCCATTTCACCTATGGAAACCTTGCCAAAATGAAATCAAATTTGAGCGTTTCAATGTAAGGGAAAACCAGCTCATGGATTTTAAAATTAAGAAGTGGATTTTTTTGTTTGTTTTGTTTATGTTGGCTTTGGGTTTGTTTTTTTTTTTCTCTACCAAGTAAATAGTTTCGATGAAATAAACAGGTCCAATCATCTAATGATGGATTATTTGAATGCAGATTGAAATTGAATTGAAAATGTTGAGAATGAGCTTGTTTATGCTTCTCAAAAAGCTGCAGCACCTGCAACTGATAAAAATTAGTGCAAACATATCAAAAGTCTTTGAAGAAACATGTGGCCAATCCAGTGCCAACTTGGACAGAATCAGAACACTGGCTGCTTAGAGGAAATATCCCAACATTCAGCTAATCAACAATGTTAAATGAAATGAAGAATGAAACTTTTTACATGACTCAGTATTGCTTGGAACAATGTTAATGTCAACAAGGTCAGTTCATG
The DNA here is from genome assembly GCF_000001405.40 of Homo sapiens. NCBI lineage: Eukaryota > Metazoa > Chordata > Mammalia > Primates > Hominidae > Homo > Homo sapiens. Next base: position 7,370 of record NT_187593.1, on the reverse strand, counting down.
GAAGGAGATGCTAGATTTCTTAAGATTTTTACCCCCTCGTATGTTTTCAACAGCTTGCGTGTCTTGATTATACCGAATTCACTCAGTCTTTGAAATAATTTCTCATTAATAATTTACAAAGTTATGTGTTTGTTTTCAGGATCCAAATTTGTGAAGGTAGCAGATTCATATCCAGTTATAGGAATCTGTTATTCCTTTTTATTTGAAAAAGAGTAAAGCTTTCTAAACCCAAGCTCCCATACATATAAGCAGAATCATGGCTTCATGCAACCAGCCACATGTTATTATTTTGTTTGTAACAAACATCTGTTAGAAACAAGATTTCTAAGTTTTGTATCGGGTTGACCAAATAAACTTATTTCTTTAGTCTAGGGTTTCTCAACAGTGGCATTATTGACATTTTGGACTATATGATTTTTTGCTGTAGAGAGCTCTTCTGGGCCTTGTAGGATGTTTAGCAGCAGCATCTTTGGCCCACTCAATGCCAGTAGGCTCCTCCCCCAAGGTGTGACAGTAAAAAACATTTCCAGATCCTGTCAAATGTCTCCTCAGAGGCAAAATCACCCCTAGCTGAGAATTACTGCTAGAAACAGCTATATAAATAAAACATGAATGTGTTAAACAAGTCTCCCTCTTTCCCCCAGAGAACACTTCTACCACCTAAAGATGATGAATATTAATGATCCCTTATGTTTCCCAGAAAGTTGCCATGCATATATGAGTATGTACATCTGTTCTGCACAGTCATGGCCATTCAATACTACCCTTATTTTTTCATTTTTAATGTATCTGTGAGATTCTTATCTTGCAGTGCATGGGGACTTATATTTAAAATTAAATCTTTTTAAACTTACTTAGAGTTCATTACAGGATGAGCCGTAATTTCTTTAACCAGCTTTCAATATACATGCAGGCTCTAGTTCTTTGTTTTCCATATATAAGGGTGTGGCATTGTTTTCCAAATAATGCCATACCATTATATTTTTGTGTTGAATATTATGTGATTAGAGCTATAAGGTATAATTTAGAGTATGTCCCTACAGGTGGAATCACTTGTTCAAACGAAAACTAAATTAAACATATTTATAGACAATGCTATCTCACCAGCTGGGTATTACAGTGTTGTTTCCCCAGTTTACCAAACTTTTATATTTTTACCCATCTGATAAGAAAAACAGTTATATCCATTTGTGTACATGTTTAATAAAAATGAGATTTCCTGTGTTTCTAAGCCTTTTCTTCCCCCTGTGATCACACTCCATATACTCTTTGCCCATTTTTCTAGCAGCTTGTAGGGTTCTTTCTGTCTGATTTGTAAGAACTTTTTATATATTGAAGAAATTGGGCCTTTGTTTTCATAGATATTCCAAATATGTGTGTACTATTCATTTAATATCAGTTTTCTTTCAACTTTGTTAATATTTGTATTTATAGAAATTAGTTTCAAATTTGTCCCTCATTTCTAAGTTTAATGTCTTACAGGAGTCATGTTTCACATAGAGCAAAATAATGGTTTTCATGTTTTCTTCCAATGCTTTCAGAGTTTTGTTTTTTGTGCTTAAATATTCAAGGCATCTGAAATTCATTTGAGTATATAGAGACTGAAATACTACATATTCTTTTCCAAATACTATGGTAATTTATCATGTGATAAGGGACATTTCAAACAAGTGGGATAAAGATGACTTATTAAACAAATGCTGTTGACATAATTGCTGATATTTAGGTGCAAAATAATAAAGCTGGGTCCGTACTTGGTGCCTGCAAGGAACCAACAGAAGGCCACTGTAGCTGACTGGAGGAGATGCAGTGTTGTCAGAAAGATAGGTGGGGGCCTGATTGTGTTGGGCTTTGTAAATCCAAGCTAAGAATTTGATCTTTTTTGAATAGAGTGTCTTTTTCATGTTCATTTGGCATGTTTCTCTTATATGTAGCATATATTTTGGATTTTATTTTTTTATCCATCTGAACTTTTATTGTATGTTGGGCTTTGTAAATCCAAGCTAAGAAACTGATCTTCTTTGAATAGTGTCTTTTTCATGTTCATTTGACATGTTTATCTTATATGTAGCATATATTTTGGATTTTATCTTTTTACCCACCTGAGCTTTTATTTTTTATTATTAATATAAGACACGTGTTTAATATTACTTCTGTCATCACATTTTATGTTACTTTTCAGCTTTTGATGTTTCCTTGGTTTCTATCTTTTACTAAAATTCCTATCACACTTTATTTCCCTAAGGACTTGTAAACATCTTTTACTCTCTTTTGGTATTGTGTACTGCTAGAGAGAAGTAGGAAGACTTCTTGATTTTTTTCTCTTTGTTACTTTTTCTGTCTGAATATACTGAAGAATTGATCCTATAAAATCTTAAAACTCATTAATTTCTATAGCAGGACATGTGTGGGTATTGATCTTTCTGTGTCTGTTGCTTGTTTTGTTTCCTAGGATGAAGGATCCCCTCTCTACTGGCTGATTAGGGTATTTCAGAAAATTTTCTTCTGTTATATCTTTGAACATTTTTTTAACTTCTATTTTCCTCTTTTTTTAAAATACATCTTTTTGGGAATTTTTTGCTTATCTTTAAAGTCTTCTGACCTTTGCTGAGAATTGTGTTCTCAAGCTTTACTACCTATCTCTACGTGTGGTTTCAGCAGTGTCAGTTCTTTTTTTTGAGGCAGAGTCTTGCTCTGTCACCCAGGCTGGGGTGCAGTGGTGCAATCTTGGCTCTATGCAACCTCCACCTCCCAGGTTCAAGTGATTCTCCTGCCTCAGCCTTTTGAGGAGCTGGGATTACAGGTGTGCACCACCACGCCTGGCTAATGTTTGTATTTTTAGTAGACATGGGTTTTCACCATGTTGGACCAGGCTGGTCTCAAACTCCTGACCTTAGGTGATCCACCCTCCTTGGCCTCCCAAAGTGCTGGGATTACAGACATGAGTCACTGAACCCTGCTAGCAGTGTCAATTCTGGCTTTCATTTCTCTTTAGGGTAGCTTCAGTTTGTAACAATGACCTCTTCCTATTTGTCTCTTTCTTTGCTATATTAGACATCTTATTGTAACTTTCGTTGCAAAGAAAATTCACTTTTTCATTAGCTCTCTTAGTCTCACCAAGAATGTTTGAGATTTTCTTCGGCCGTGTGGCTTGTTCTCCTGGAAAGATTATTTCATGTGCGTTTGTCATATCCTCTTATTTTTTTCTATAATATTTTTGGAAGATGTCTAGGGGAAAGGGGATTCCAAGTTGTCTTGGAGCACTTCCTGCTCTGGTCTCCTATCACTTTGCAATCATAAGCACCTCCCTTGCTGTTGTTTCTTTCCCTTAGGAGAGGAGGCCTGTATGCCCTAGAGGAAATTTCTGTGTGTTATAGGTTTCTCTTGGATGATTCTGCATTTTTTTTCTTTTCAGTTCACCTTGAAACTTACTTGATCAGTGTCTGCCAAGTTGATTGTCATTTATATTTTCTATACTGCCCTGCTGTCTTCCCTGATTGATTCCTGAAAAAAAGGAGGGAAAAAGCATATTGCCCTTCAGCTTTAATTTGCCTGCTGTGTTGAATCCATCCAGGATTCAACCTCTGCCTCTGCTTGCCCTGACCTCTATATTTTATCTATTTTATCCTCTAAATTAGAGTTGGTTTGGCTATTTCTTGCGTTGTTTCACCTATTTCTTTGAAAACTTTTTTTACTTGGTTTAATCTGTAGATTCGGTCTGCTGTGGGCATTCTCTCTTGATTTGGTCTAATCTGATCATATTTGTTTGCATCTATTGTATATCATTTGTAGTTTTAATTAAAGCTACTCATAGTTTCATTGTGTATGTGTTTGCTTTTTTTTTTTTTTTTTTTTTTTTTTTTTGAGACAGGGTCTCACTCCATAGCCCAGGTTGGAGTGCAATGGCATGGTCAGAGCTCACTGCTGCTGCCCACCTTTTAGGCTCAAGGAATCCTCCTGCCTTAGCCTCCCGAGTAGCTGGGACTACAGAGGTGTGCATCACCACACCCAGCTAACTTTTTATTTTTTGTAGAGATGGGGTCTCACTATGTTGCCCAGGCTGGTCATGAACTCCTGGGCTCAAGCAGTTCTCTCCCCCTGGCCTCCCAAAGTGCTGGGATTACAGGCATAAGTCACTATGCCCAGGCTCTTTTCTATTTTTATTTGTTTTTTCTATTTTTAGTTGATAACAAGACAACATGTTAACTGGATTTTGCAATAAAATAAAATACCCACTAGATATCTTTTTGGTCAATTGTTTGAATAGGAGAACTCAGAATTATGGCACAGTCTTGGGAAAATTAACTTAAAACCCTTGAAACAGTTTACTAATGTGTTTGAATCTGATGTGGATCCAGGCTCTCATTGCACTAAAAGTGTGGTTGAAGTATTGACTGCCAAGACCTCCAGTGGTAGGGAGAGAGTGGGGTTGAAATTGTGGTTTTAGGGATGGCTATTATTTGAATAAATGTTGTAGGAATTTTCCAAGCACAGAACACAGCATGAATCTCTGGTTCTTAGTTCTTCACCAATATTTCTTCACCGAGAATAGCCAGACCTCTTGGAAGGGTAGTTGAAATTGAGTGACTAGGAGAGAGAGCATCAGATCCTACAAAGAATGGTGATGACAGAGGATGGAGGGAATTGGGGTGATGGTCAAAGGGTACAAAGTCTCGGACAGGAGGAATAAGTTGTTTGGGGTTTTTTGAGATCCATTGTGCAGTGTGGTGAATATAATTAATAGTGCATTGTACATTTCAAAGTTGCTAAGAGTAAATTTCAAATATTCTCACACCCTCAAAATAAGTATTTGAGGTGATAGATATGTTAGTTAGAATGACTTAATTATTCTACACTGAACTTGGAAACTTTAATATCACTTTGTACCCCATAAATACATACAGTTATAAAGGGTCAATTTACAATAAAATAAAAAGTTTTAAAGGAAAAAGAAATTAAGAGTGAATAGAAGTGTGGAAGGATTTTTGAAAGTCAGCAAGTTTATCTTGGATTTAGGAGGGAGCCCTAGTAGTTTTTTGAACAGGGTAATGACAAGGTGAAAGCTGTATTTAAGGAAAACTTCATCTAGCACTTGATTTGGCATTTAATTTGATCTCACGGGGACTTGGTGAGTACCTGTTTGTACCAAGTATCATACTGGATACAGTAGTGCACAGAGCAGCATGGGGAAGAATTCCTGCTTCAAGAAACGCAGTCTGGTGGAGTCAAGAAACTGATTTTGAAAAATCTGCCTCAGTAAAATTTCAGTACCAGAGTTGACCTCAACTCTGGTTGTCATGGTGTCTGTTCTATGTTGCCAGTTAGGTTCTACCACAGCAGCGGTCTCTGTCTGTGATGATGTGACACAGATAACGTTGATTCTATGATTTGTATGGGACACTCTAAAGTCTGCCCTCAATCAGACTCTCATATCTCATATAAATGTAGCTGAATATTCAGCAGCAACTTTTTGAATTCCATATTTTCATGTTTGCTTCCTTCTAAGTCAGGTTTCTGTCCTCCCGGTGGCTCGGCCCTCTTCTACCCCAGTCCTGCTGCCTCCGTGTATTCAGATTACATCTGGATGATCACATCTCATATAAATGTAGCTGAATATTCAGCAGCAACTTTTTGAATTCCATATTTTCATGTTTGCTTCCTTCTAAGTCAGGTTTCTGTCCTCCCGGTGGCTCGGCCCTCTTCTACCCCAGTCCTGCTGCCTCCGTGTATTCAGATTACATCTGGATGATCTTTCCTTTTCTGACAGTGTTTTTTGTTTTTTTTGTTTGTTTGTTTGTTTTGGTTTTTATTTTCTTGAGATGAAATCTTGCTCTTGTCGCCCAGGCTGGAGTGCAGTGGCACTATCTTGGCTCACTGCAACCTCCACCTCCCAGGTTCAAGCGATTCTCCTGCCTCAGACCCCCCCGAGTAGCTGGGATTACAGGTGCGTGCCACCACACCCCGCTAATTTTTGTATTTTCAGTAGAGATGGGGTTTCACCACGTTGGCCAGGCTGGTCTCAAACTCCTGTCCTCAGGTGATCCGCCAACCTCGGCTTCCCAGAGTGCTGGGATTACAGGCATGAGCCACCACGCCCGGTCTCTGACAGTGTTTTATCCCTTGTCATGTACACTAATTATATCCTGGCACTTGGCTCTGTAGTTGTTTTTATATCAGTCTTGCCTAATCGGTTAGAATCATAGACTACTTGAAGGCATGAATAACAGCCCACATTTTATCTATTTATTTATACATCTCTCATTACTTCAAAAAATGATTTGAACATGTTTCTTTTATATGATTGTGTTTTGACCTTGGTCAAGGTGGTAGACATCTGATTAAGGAGGGTCAATAATTTATGAACTCAGAACACACAGAACAGAGGACTTTTTGTTGTTGTTTTTAATTTATGATTTATATCTCTTTGAAAGTCCGGCAAAGACACATCGTATTTCTCAAATCAACTTTAGAGAAAAACAAGAGTGTGAAGCTGAGACTCCTCCAGTCAATGAGAAAGTTTTGATACCAAACCTATTAAATGCAAATTAAATCTATTTTTCTATGAACATGTGCATATTATCTCTGAAAGTAGATGTATGCCTTAAATATAAATTTTCCTTACAATATGGATTTCTGTGATATCGGGAATCTATGTTTTATAAAGGAACAACTGCTGCAGTCCCTGTGGCTCATGATTCCTTAGCAGCTGTGTCCAGCTGGTGGTCCACATTCCCGCTACTTCTTCAGTGAATGGAAACATTTAGGTCAATATTGATATAAAACTTCATGAGCTTTCTTCTCTTTCAGCTTTGGTTCGCCTTTGTTAATGGATTTTCTGGGCAGATTTTATTTGAACGTTGGTGCATCGGCCTGTACAATGTGGTAAGCATTCTTCATCTCTATCTGATAGCATGCAGAACTTAGAACTTCAGTGACATTCCTTCACTGTTTATGTCTGGGAAGTGTATCTGAGTCAATCATCTGTATACTTAGCAGGCAGCACAAATACATCTTTGGGCCCTTTGTTGCTGTGAAACATCCTGCAGAAGCCCAAACTCTCCACACATGGTTTCAATCATAGCAGATCATTCCTGAATAACCCCTTGAAATTATTAACCCATATATCTTGATAATAGACCCTTGTTACCCCCTTACTACATGCCTGTGCAACACTTTCGTGTTTTTAGCTCAAGTACAAATTTCTGAACTACACCTAAACTCATTCCGCTTCATTATTTTTGTTCTGAATTCTTAAACATAGATACAAATGTACAGTGTGTGATCTGGTGTCCGTTCTGTCCTTCCTGAAAGGGTATCTGTCCTTGTGGAAGAACATTTTCTTCTGCAGTTAGAGCTAAAATAATGAATTC